>NC_000003.12:168402543-168554058 GCF_000001405.40 Homo sapiens
TAAGGATACAGCAAGTTGTACATGCTTTTATAATCATACTCACTAAACAAAGCTTTGAAAGAATGGGGTTGGAATTTGGACTTAATGGGTAAGAATTGAAAATGGGCTATTGTGTCTTAGAAACTTCAGTTTGCTGTAGTTCACGTTACTGAGCTCAAACATTTTCTAAGCCAACAAACTGGTAACTTTACAAGTTTCCTTCCTAACCGTGCTCACCACATTCATGCTGTGTTGAACTGCCATGCAAATTCAATAAGGTTTGATTTTCTTTCTTTGCTATTTCTTACTTGCTTTCTATGTTACTTTCTTCTCTTTTCTGAGAATTATTTTCTGAACCAAAAAGTAAATGTTTAGCATCAGGATCAATTGTCAAATAACAAACAAATATTCAAGTTCTAGGATAAAATGACATCTTGTGAGCAACCCTTAAATTCCCATTAAAATTTTCACTAGGATGGGGGTGGTGGTGGAACAACTCATAACATTAAATGCCAAGACATAAAATCAATCTATTCCCAGAATATTGGGAGCAATTAGTAATAATTGGTAAAGTGAAAAAATAAGAAAATTAATTTGGATGGGACTCAGTGCAATTCACAAAATGTTGAAAAGATGTATATCTTGCTATTAGCTAGTAAAATTTTTGAATTGAAAAGACAAATTACAATAGCTTTTTTGAAAAAAAAAAATGAGACTCCCAATTGAGATGACCAAAAGTTGAAATGTTAAAAATACAGAAATGGGCCAGGTGTGTTGGCTCACACCTCCAGTTCCAACACTTGGGAGGCTGAGGTGGTAGGATTGCTTGAGTCTAGGAGTTTGAGACTAGCCTGGGCCACATGGTGAGACCCCCATCACTACAAAATTTTTTTTTAAAATTAGCGGGGTATGGTGGTGGTGTGCCTGTGGTCCCAAGTACTCAGGAGGCGGAGGTGGGAGGACCACTTTAGCACAGGAGGTTGAGGATGCAATGAGCTGTGTTCAGGCCTCTGTACTCTAGCCTTGGTGACAGAGCAAGACTCTGTCTTAAAAAATATAAAAATAAAAATGAGGAAATCTTTATTAAAAGAGAAGTAGAAAAAGTAGAGTTAAATAAAGACAAATCTAATAAAAATTACTGTGTTAAATTTGATGATAAAATTCAGTGGAAGAGCTAATATTCTTAAAATGCTGTGGACAATGGAAACACAATAATTTAGTTGAAAATTAATTAAACCCATAGATTATATTAACTAAAGATCAGAAAGTATAAGGTAGAGGATACGGAGAGGTAAAATTTTTCTAGTTTCCTTATCTTTAATGATAGGGAATAAAAAATCTCCAATTTGGAGGGGGAGGTTATTGATAGTTTGGTATTTATAGTTTAAAAATGTAAACATAACCACTATTGGAGTTATTCTTCACACCTTGCAAATTACTAGACCATATAAAATATAAACAGTTATAAATCAAAGGAAGCATTATAAAACAGCATAAAACTGTATAATGGAAGACAAATATAATAATTCTGCCAATTAAAATGAATAAACTCCTCTGTTAGCACATAAGACTTTCACATTTCATTAAAAATTAAAGTCTCACTGTTTCCTTCATGCCCAAGAACAGAGAACTTTAAAAGAACAAATAGTCAGGGGAAATACCCAGAGAAACACAAACAGAAAAATAACATAAATGGTTATATGAATTTTATAAAAATGTATTTTCCAGAAAGATTTTGTTTTTTTTTTTATTTAAAGGAGCATTAAAATCTCAGTGAACTTATAACAGAAATAAAAATGAGGCAGACATTGTTAGAATTAGAAGCAAAACTGATAAAAAATAAATGTCTTGGAAGAATTTGTTATCCTATTTAGTCAATAAAAGACTAAGTAAAATAAAATAACACAACTAGGAAAAATTAGCCTGGTTAAAATAGTAGACATAAAATTGAACTCTCAATCTTTCAAAAACCTCACCCTCTTTTAAATAATTGAGAAACACTGATTTACAAAATCCTTTTAAACTTGAAATCATACAGGGTGCATTCTTTAACGTAAATATTCATTGAACGAATGTTAAGGAAGGCAAATAGCCTAGAAATTAGTGACTTCTTTCAGAGAAAAAAAATCTCCAATACTAAAAATCCATATCCTAAGTGAGAAAATGGAAACTAGAATTATTGTATGTTAAGTGATGCAGCCAAAGCAGAACATAAGGGAAAACTCTTAGCTTTATGTCCTTTCATTATTAAACATTAAAATTAAAACATATTAATTAAAGATTGAAGTCACAAATATAGAACAAATAAAACAATGCAAACAAATTAGGTAAAATAGCTGAAGGCAGAAATCAATAAATTAGAAAAAACAAAAAATTTAATAACGTTCTTTAAAACAATGTTTAAAATTAAGAATAAAAGATAACTAATGTTAAATTAGAAAGGGTATACAGACTGTAAATGCAATGTTTTTAAAATTTTAATATTTAAACTTCAAACTATTATATTTGAAAACATAAATGAAATTAAACATTTCTGAAATGAAAACATACAAATTTTCAAAACGTTCTCTAGTACAAATCAAAGATAGCTAGAACAACAATTCTAATGAATAGTACATAATAAAAGATTATTCCTTGCATAAAAGTTTCTGAAATAAAGTGATTTTACCTGAGTTCCTTCAGATTTTTAGAGAAGGAATGCTTCTCTGTACCCTTCCAGAGCATGAAAAATTGAGAATATTGCACATCCCATTTTAGGGAGCCAGTATTAACTTTGCTCACTGAATATGATAAATTTATTACAAAAACACTATATGTCTGACAAAATAGAATAGATTTGGTGGCAGATATATTAATTTGATCTTTGAGCTATCTCTACCACATCCCCTTCTTTGCTTAGTGAATCCTCATTTTCTTTGTGCTGGCTGCAGTCTCCCCAGCTTAAGGTGATGAATCATGATTGGTCTAATTCTAAGAATGACAATCTTGTTCCTCTTTTCTATCAGTTCATCTTCCAAACCCTCCTTAGAGCTTGGGTATGGCTGATTGACTCAATTCTGGCCAATTGCGCTTAAGGGGATCTCTACTGGGAAGCACTAGAGAAAACAGAATTGGTGTCCTAATACAAGGATCAGGTAGAAGACAAGGGCTTGTTGTCTGGAGTGGCTGCAGTCATTTCATAACATGAGGTGGCAAGAGGGAAAGAAACAAAATTCTTTGTGGTTAAAAATGATGAAGGAGAAAGAAAAAAAGAGCTTAGATTACTGATGATTATGATTGGCCTGCTGAACCAGTCGTGATATCACCTGTGTTCTTTCTGTTAACTGAGATAACACAACACACACACACACACACACACACACACACACACACACAACATGCCACTGTTACAGGTTTTTAAAATTAATTTGGTTTAACACTTGGAAGCACTCATCTGATACAAAAGCAAAAATCCAAAATAAAATATTGACAAATAAAAAAATAGCAGTTCACAGAATTATTTACCACACTTTAGTAAAGTTATATAAAGAAGCAAGGAGAGTCACACATTAGAAACTGTATTAACCTAACACCACATCATTAAGTCTGATGATGCTACAAAAATTTATATTCATTATTATTTTAGAATACAATTAAATTTGGAATAAATGTATTAAGTTTTAAAAATAAAATGCTGGTGACTTTATTAGATGTAGTTGAGATAAGTTGAGGATCCTCATTATTGTACACTATTTTAATTTAAACACTGTTCTGAAAGTTCTAGCTAATAACATATGTTCTGAAATAAACTTACACATTTTGAAAAGGAAATTAACACTATTATTTGAAAAAAATATGATTACATGCCTGTACAGTCAAAGAAAATAACTGAATTAAGAGTGTTCATTAAAGTGGCCCTCAGTGAAATATTCTCCAATCTAATGGAATTAACAGAATATATATAGAGACCATAGAATATGGTGATGATAGCACTGACATACCTAAAATTGAGGAAATTTATCAGGATACAAAACTATGATCAACATCCATTTCTATCAGGGGAGACAGACATTTAGTTTCAGTTACTATGAAGGTCTGTTGTGCTTTGTTGTGAGGTTATTTTCTCATCTTTTATCAAGGCCTAGATGAAATATCCTTAAGAACATTTATCATCTTTCATTCTTATTTCATCTCTAACCAACAACATTCTGATAAATTATTTAGCTTTTCAGATGACTAGAATCTTCTAGTACTTTTATTACTAATAAAAACATATTCCCATAAATACACCAATAAGTTAGCATTCTTGTTAACTATAACAGAACAGGAAGGATATAAATTGTTCAATAAATGATAACTGTGAAAACTGGTTTATATAAAGAAAAATCTAATGATAGCATATTTGCATAATATATGTCAAAATGAATTCTACATGGATTAAACAGAAAAATTTAAATAAATAAAAAAACTTTAAAGAATCTAGGAAGAACATGTACATGAATGAATATTTAACTTATATCCCAGGTTCAGGAAGAATTTTCAAATAGGGAAATCATTAGTATGCATGATGAAATCTTGCTTAGATTAGTAGGTAATAATTATTAAAAATGTATTTGAAATTTAAATGCCCCAATATAAGTAAGCCTGCTTATTTTGGGAGGGGTATCTTCTTTTTTTAGAAAGCTGAAAAACAATTTTAAAATTCCAATATGTTTTCTGCATTCCCTCCCCGTCTTGGGTGAGGGAAATCTAGAGGACTTTTAAGAGCTTTTACAAGTTCTAAGATTATTTGGAGGCTGTCTTTATGTCCCCCGGTCATTCTCATTTTCCCCTTGGATTGAACACATTAAGACAAGCATCTACTCTTCCTGTCCCATGATTGCACCCTCATTTCACACAGGGAGAAGTCAGATAGCACTCAGTCTTTAAACTTCCTTGCCAGGACCTGCTTGGTGCCCAGAACAGGAGAGAAGGAAAGGTGGGCTGTCTACCTCTATCATCATAAGTTGAGGCAACTGGTGTTCTGTGAGCTTTTCTCCCAGCACCTGTCATACAGGACAGTTGAGGGCTCCTCTTCTATTGCATTCTTGCACTGCATGGGGCCTCATAGTGCTTGCTCACAATGAAAATGGAGAAAGAAACAACATGAAAATGGTGGTAGAAAACTTGCATATTGTGATATAATCAGTGGTCCTGCTTGAGTAAGCAGCTAGAAGACCCCAGGCACCCAGAGGCTCTTGGGAGACCCCCCTTCACCCTCATACAGGGTGAGAGAGAAAGGGTTCTGAATTTGACTGCAATTCTGCCTAAATGTAATGTCATTACAAAAGTCTTGGCTTCTGCATTCTGCTCTACCTCTCAAGGTAGCCTGTTAGGGGCCTGGAAATTTTCCATAAAATGGTTCAAATTCATCCTTAATTATCTACCATATAAAATGCAAATTCAAGTATAGGAAGGGTATTTCGAGGATATCAATATATAATGTATGAAAGTGCAGGGTGCATAACAGTTGTGCGTATAAAGCTAAGGCTGAGAATATACAAGGCTGAGAATATACATAAAAGGAAAAGTAAAAAAGTAAAAGTAAAAAAGATTTTTTTAAAAGTAAAAAAGATACCCTAGAAATAATATTACAAGGTTAATGAATCAGTGAGTAGGTTTGCCACAAATAAAACAAGCAGAGGTTTGATTGTCTTAGTATACAAATAATTCTTATAAATCAGTAAAAGTAAAATTCATATGGGCCAATGGTATAAATAGATATTTTACAAATGAAATTTAAGGGCACTTAAGATATTTGGAACCATTCAAATAAAAATGAAATTTTTCTTTGTATAGATTGAGCAAAACTATTTTTAAAAATAATTTTGGGAAGGATAGGGTAAAATGGTGAGAAGTCTCTTTAAAAAGCACATATATATGTGTCTTATATATATATGTTTACATATGATAAAATGCAAATCAAAACCACAATGAGATACCATCTCACACTAGTTAGAATGGTGATCATTAAAAACTCAGGAAACAACAGGTGCTGGAGAGGATGTGGAGAAATAGGAACACTTTTACACTGTTGGTGGGACTGTAAACTAGTTCAACCATTGTGGAAGTCAGTGTGGCGATTACTCAGGGATCTAGAACTAGAAATACCATTTGACCCAGCCATCCCATTACTGGGTATATATCCAAAGGATTATAAATCATGCTGCTATAAAGACACATGCACATGTATGTTTATTGCGGCACTATTCACAATAGCAAAGACTTGGAACCAACCCAAATATCCAACAACAATAGACTGGATTAAGAAAATATGGCACATATGCACCATGGAATACTATGCAGCCATAAAAAATGATGAATTCATGTCCTTTATAGGGACATGGATGAAACTGGAAACCATCATTCTCAGCAAACTATCGCAAGGACAAAAAACCAAACACCATGTGTTCTCATTCATAGGTGGGAATTGAACAATGAGAACACATGGACACAGGAAGGGGAACATCACACTCCGGGGACTGTTGTGGGGTGGGGGGACGGGGGAGGGATAGCATTAGGAGATATACCTAATGCTAAATGACGAGTTAATGGGTACAGCACACCAACATGGCACATGTATACATATGTAACAAACCTGCAAATTGTGCACATGTACCCTAAAACTTAAAGTTCAATAATAATAAAACTAAAAAAAAAAGAACATCAAACAATAGAGAAGGTTAAACATTAAGATAAAATTCCTTTTCTTTCCTATCTCACTTGCAGAGACAACAATTGTTAACAGTAGTTTTAGTTTTGTTCTGGTGATGAATATTAAAATCTTAAAACCCTCATGTACTTTTGCTTGTCAACTTGAAGTAGTACTTTCAACTTATGAAAAATGAAAGGTTTAAAACACCCTAACTTCCTGCCAATCTTTGTAAGCTTTTATTTTTCTAATTATTCTAGATTTCTTGATTTATTACCTACATATATATATATATGATGTATATATGCATGTACGTATATATATGCCTATGTGTAGGTGTATCTATATACATATAATATTTTTTATCAGAACTCAAAGGAAAGGAATTAATAGGCTTCATTACCTTTCCCCCTCTTTTTCATCCTCCATTTTATAAAATGTGATACATTATTATTGCATTTGTCAAATTCTGTAACTGTAGTTATTTTGTGCATTGCTAGTAGATTGATAGTAAAAACTGAAAACCAGCAAACATTATTAAAATATTATAATTCTGTACACATGTATCATGGTAAAGCATAGTGTAGTTGGACCCATAGAAAAGTTACATTCTTTGTCTACAAACTTTATTGCTGAAAGGATACTCTTCCAATCATCAAGTTGTCATTGATTCTCCCTCATTTATTTACCATTTTCTGTATTTATTTTTCCATTGGCTGCCTGTATTTCTTGTACTCTATGTCATTATCATTATTGGAGTTTTTTTTTATTTTGATGGAAAATCTGGTCTAGTAATTTCTTTCACATGGAATGTTTGAGTGCTAAATTTTCTATTTGCTTGCATTTGCAAAAATGATTTTATTTTCCTCTTACCCTAGTTTGGCAGGGTATAAAATTATAAATTCAGTGTTTTTCTTTAAGATTTAAAAAATCTTGCTTTTTCATATTTTTGTGTATATATTGCTAGTGAGAAACTGAAGATAATGAGGAGTATGATGTTAGATGCACATATGGATCCTGTTGGTTTGTATGTAATTGGTTTATTTTCTCTAGATGCTTTTAATGTCCTTTCTTTATTTTGGAATTCTGAAATCTCATCAGGAAGTTTGTAAGCATATGTCTCTGGTTTTGTTTTTTAAATTTTATTTATCTTGCTCAGCCCTACTTGAACCATTCCCATTTAAAAGTATGTGTCTTTCTGTTTTGCTTTCTTTTATTGTTTCCATTATTTCTTTCTTCTCTCCATTTTGTTCCTACTGCATGGATGTTGGGCTTCCTGGATTTTTCATCTGTGACCTAAATTTATACTCTTTATCTATGTTTTTGTTGCTTTTTATTCTGTGAGACTTTACTTCTGTTCTACAGACCATGTGCTTAGTTTTCAGTTGTTTTATTCTACCATTAAATCCACTGTTTATAAACTCTGAATCAAAACCTATCAATGGGTCATGAAATAAATTTAATTATTTAAATTATGATATTTAATTTAAAATTAAATGTCAGATTCTAATTTCAAAACTGTAAAGGGCACACCATATTGACAGGAGGCACCGCACAGTGGTGCTGATGGGCCAAAAGTGAGCTGTCCCATGACGCTCTCCATTGTCAAGTCAGGAGGACTTTACTTTGAGAGTGGAAAATCTTAGTAAATTTAATTTCTTAGTCCAGTGTTGTATCCTTTTTTGCCACATAATGTGGAGGTTTGACATTCTCTTAAGTGCTGTTAGGCTTCTTTCTCTCAGGCTTCAACACTCATACATGTAACTCTCCACTGGGAGATGACCCATTTTCTTAGGAGAAATGTTCTTTGGCCTTAATCTTGAGAGAAAAAAAAAAGTCACTAGCCTCCATCTGCAGGAGAGGAAAAGGGGATACCTTGTCCAGCCATTCTAAATAATAGTGCTTTAAGTAATCTACTCATATGCTTATCTTGGCTCCATTCTGAACTTGTACTCACTCACTTTGAACTTGAAGCTTCTACAGAGCTCCCTTACTGTAGTTTTTTATGGCCTGTTTTATTCTATACCAAATTACTTCTGATTTCTATGTTTCAGAAATTCCTGAAATTCCATACTCCTCATATGAAGCATGTTGGCACCTTTTCTTCTACATTCAAAAATGTTATGGTTTCATTTTTTCAAAAATACTTTGTCTTTTTAATGGAAACTCTTGAGAAGGGAGGAAGACGTGTTTGTTTTGCGTCTTCAACTGGATAAGCATAACCTTCCTTGAAATAAATTCGGCTTTATATGGAAAAAATCTGAAAATTCTTACCTTTTACCTAATGACTCCACTTCAGGAAAATCCTGAAGAGAAATAAGCCAACATGCAGAAACAGATTTAAGTTTATATTAAATTGTAAGAACAACACATACTACCTGAAAGACAAAATACAGTATAGAAGGATGGTTAAGTGAATTATGATTTATCCATCTGATAGCACAATGTTGTAAAAAGTCGTATGTCTGAGATTTGCTCAAGTTATATGGAAAATCTTCATAGTTAATGTCAAGTTAAAAACTGCATACAGAACTACATATATATAATAAGATCACAAATCTACAAGTAAAGATTTGTGTATGTTTATGGAAAAGAACAAGAATCAATTATGTCAAACTATTAGCTGTAGTTAAATCTGATTGGGGTCCTACTTATTGTAATTTCTTTTTGTCTTTTTAATAATTTTTTAAGTTTTATATAATGAACATGTTTTATTTCACATTAATATATTATGTAAAATATTTTAAAGATAAATTTCATTTTTATATCCTTAGTCCCTGGGAGGAGAATCCTGCCTCTATTTTTTGCCTCTATCTGTGTAGTGTGATAGCAGTTATAATACTTCATTTAAGAATTATCTCTTTGCATCTGTTTCATCAGCATAATTTGACTATGGGTTTTTTGCAGGTAAGGGCAATATCACTTTTTTTAAAAAATAGTATTTTGTGTAGAACAGGTGTTCAGATTTTTTTTTTTCTGGTAGTCTTTCCGAACTTTGTTGTTTCTGAATTAATAAGCAACAGTCCTTAAAGTGTGGTCTGTTGACCCCTAGTGTCAACAAGGCACTTTCAGGTATCCTGTGAAGGTAAATTGTTTTCATAATAATACTAAAGCCTTAATATTGACCTTTTTCACTGTGGTGACAATTGCACTGATTGTATAAAACAATAGTGAGTTAAATTCATCTTAGCACAAATGTGAAGGGGCAGTGGCCTGAAATTGTACTCACAGTCATTGTATTATTCATTGCCACACACTCATAGTAAAAAAAATAAATTGCCAGTTTCACTTTCAAATGTCTTTGAAGGAACAGTAAAAAGTACTAATTATATTAAATCATGACTCTTGAATATATCACTTTTTAATATTCCGTGTGGCAAAGTGGGATGTTTACAGAAACACTTCTGCTGCACTGATAAAAGACCCATTTCAAGTGCAAGGCAGACCAGTGGACTTCAATGTAGCAGACCACACAAAGTTCACTGATCTGGCTTCAGATTCCACATTGCAACTAACCTTTAAGACACTACCACCTATCAAATTTTGATTCGGTATCGAAGAATATCCATAACTGTCTTAAAAGGCTATTAAAATATTTCTTGTTTCCACAACAACATATCTGTGTGTAGCCAGATTTTCCTCATATACTTCAACCAAAATAACCTATTGTAACAGATTGAACGCAGAAGCATCCAGCTGTCTTCTATTAATTCACAACATTAAAGAGATTTGTAAACATAAACATGACGTGATTCTCACTATTTTTGAATATAGGTATTTTACGTAAAAATATCTTATGTTAACATGTCATGGGTTTATTATTGTTATGTTTATATGAATCAATGAGTATATATATATATATATATATATATATATATTTTTTTTTTTTTTTTTTTTTTTTCTATTCTCAGTTGGTGCGGTGGCTCACACCTGTAATCCCAGCACTTTGGGAGGCCGAGGTGGGCGGATCATGTGGTCAAGAGATCGAGACCATTCTGGCCAACATGGTGAAACCCCATCTCTACCAAAAATACAAAAATTAGCTGGGCATGGTGGCGCACCTGTAGTCCCAGCTACTCAGGAGGCTGAGGCAGGAGAGTCACTCAAACTCAGGAGGCGGAGGTTGCAGTGAGCTGAGATTGCACCACTCCACTCCAGCCTGGGTGACAGAGTGAGATTCCATCTAAAAAAAATAATTCTCATATTATTAAATGTTTAGTATAGTGAATACTGGTCAGGTGCAGAGGCTCATGCCTGTAATCCCAGCACTTTGAAAGTCCAAGGCGGGTGGATCACCCGAGGTCAGGAGTTCAAGACCAGCCTGGCCAAAATGGTAAAACCCCATCTCTACTAAAAATACAAAAATTAGCTGGGCATGGTGGCATGCGCCTGTAGTCCCAGCTACTCGGGAGGCTGAGGCAGGAGAATCACTTGAATCCAGGAGGCGGAGGTTGCAGTGAGCTGAGATCATACCACTGCACTCCAGCCTGGCTGACAGAGCTGTATATATATAGACAATTACAACCCATGTATACAGAAACTCTTTGGGTTCTTCAATAATTTTTAAGAGAGTAAAGGGATACTTGATAGTTCCACAGTTTTTTACTTATTATTAAAAAATGCTCAGTGACTTACTCAAAGATACATGTTACTAAAGGGCAGAGGCAGAATTTAAACTAAGATCTGACTGCTCCAAAGCCCTCCTAAGCATTTCTATATTCAATCTTTGAAAACTAAAGTTGTTTTTTTTTTTTCAGTTCTCTGACAGTATCTCTTCCTGAATAATTTCTTGCTTAATCATAACTTTCATTAATCTAGCATCAAGCAGGTTCTGAGTACTTATTGGAGTGTATTTGAGTAAAGCTTTCAAGGAATTTGGTGTACATATCTGAAATATCCTTGACATCTCCAGCAGTTATCAACCATTCTTTCTTCACTTAGAATTGACTTCCAGTTGTCACACCTGTGCCTATTCAGGCTTTCAGATGCTCTATAAACTACTTTTTTTACTTCTTTGTCTCTTCCAGATTTGAATGTTCTTAATTCTTAGTGAGCACATTGTTATCACAGTTGCTGTTAATAGTTGCTATGGTAGGTTACAAGTAAAACAGGTATTGTTAAGTGGCTTCTATAATTTGCTATTAGTCACTACTACAATATTTCTCATGCAATCAGAATTGAAATTTCTATATTTGTGTACAGCAATCATTGTGACAGCTCTGTCTCCAGTGGCTTGTAACAGCCCCCATTGCTTATAGTTTCAGTTTTCATGTGGGAATGGTGCTAAATTATGGTGCTCACCAATACGGCTTCTTTCTATGCAGCTCTGCAGCTACTGCTGGCTCTTCTGGGAATTTTTTCTTTTGTATATCCGTCCCTGGTGGATCACTTGCCCTTTCCTGCCAAACCCTTGCCTCTGTCTGAATTCTGGTTTGGCTCTTCCTTTGTGGCCCCCAGAGCCTCTGCCAATCTTGTTGGAGCATTTGCAGCAATAGGAAAAAGGTCCCCCTTCTTCAGGGCACCCATGATCTTGAAACAGAGACTCATGAAGACTCATGAATGGGTTTCAACTCCCATCCATCCTCTCTGCCAAGCCCTTGTGGAGACCA
This sequence comes from Homo sapiens, assembly GCF_000001405.40. Classification (NCBI taxonomy): domain Eukaryota; kingdom Metazoa; phylum Chordata; class Mammalia; order Primates; family Hominidae; genus Homo; species Homo sapiens. Next base: position 168,414,802 of record NC_000003.12, read on the forward strand.
CAGTCCATGACCCTGAATAACTTCTGAGAGCTCACGTTGTGAAATTGATGCAGAAGTTTTGTGACATTGATTTTTAAATACCACCACAGTGCTCCAAATGCCTTCTGGATGGCTTTCCAATTTCAGGATAAGAATACAAAACATACACTAATTTTCAAAAGAAAATATCATCCTCCCACTTTCATATCTGGTCCTTACAGAAAAAGGTATGTTACTTCCATACAGAATGTCTGTGTGATTCAAACATTCACTCCTTGTGACTTTAGTCTTAAATTGCCTTTTTTTTTTTTTTTTTACCAAAAACAAAAATCTAGATGATATTTTACTATGTTTAATCATCAATCCAGAGAGATTCCCTAAGGCTTAAATAAAATGAATGACTTAAGGGATTGGTTATCACTTGTGTCCTTTTTCTGGGATCTCCTTCTCCCATTTATACTCTGATGCATTAGCTTGCTTCTCAGTGTCAACTCTTGCTTGTCTAGACCCTTCCCAGTTGGTAATTTCTTGACCCTGACTTTTTTTTTTTATATGTGGCCTTCTGATCTTGGCTTTCTCTACTTTTCTCCAAGGAGAGATCTACTGACAACACTATCCTCAGTTTGGGAGGCCTGTTGGCTTTCCCTCTGAGATTCTTCCGTGTATTCAGTCTCTTATCACATTTGGACTGTTCTTGGATGCGAATGTTGAGGTGCCGAACATACTTTCTTCTGGATTCTCAAGCCTAGGTAAAGTTAGACCACCAGATAGCCATATATACAGACCTTGTGGAAACGATTTTGCTCCATGCTTTAACATTATGCTTTTAACTTCACTGAGAATTATATTAAGTTATGTCTATATAAAGGTTCTGCAACATTTATTAGCAACCTGTGAGAAGACTTTGCCCATAATTTTTATATTTTGGTCATCCTTACATAAAAATGCACGATAAACTCATCTTAGAATACTGTGTGTAAAAGATTTGTCTTCCCTAACTGTTTTAGTTATTTTGGGCTGCTATAATAAAATGTCATAGACTGGGTGGTTTGTAAACACTAGAACTTTATTTCTCACAGTTTTGGAGGCTGAGGAGTTCAAGATCAAGGTGTTGGTAGATCCATGTCAGTAAAGGCACTCTTCCTGGTTTGCAGAAGGTGATCTTTTGGTTGTATCCTTACATGGAAGAGACAGAGGGCAAGAGCAAGCTCTTTGTCTCTTCTTAAAAGGGCATTATTCCATTCAGGAAGGTTCTACCCTCATGAACTAATTTCCTCCCAAAGGTCTTAACTCCAAATACTATCACATTGTACGTTAGGATTTCAACATATGAACTTTGGGAGGATACAGACATTCAGTCCAGAATGCACTTAAAATAGTGCTCATAGTTTATTACATATATAATGTATAGATACATTACATAATGAATGGTAAGTAATATGTCATATTTCCTGTTTCACATTGGCTACTAGGAAGCATAGAGCTATATGTTGTCCTCATTTGCTATAAATATACTTAGAATTTGACAATCATGTATTTAGTTTATATTTATGAGATTCCTCAACTTAATGTCTTAAATGACTCCATGAATTTATGCCCTGCCTCATTCCAACATATATCTAAGCATAAAAATAAAGAAATGATTTCAGAACAAGAGTCACGCAATAAAGAGAGGAAATAGTTACAGAGATCCTGTAGATGCAGAGAAATTGAAGGAAGTTAGAGATAACAAAATAAGCTAATGTTATCTGGGCCAGTGACGGTCAGCATAACTCTAAATCGCCTTTTCTCCAACACATGATGTATTTCTACCAGCTTCACTTTTCCCTTCGTGGTATTAGAGTCTTCTCATCTTTATTCATGGTAAGAGGACTCAGATGATATCTTTGCCTTAAAATCTTTCCCTCTGACCCATCCTGCTTGGTCATTAGAGGAAGCGTCACAGAAGGAAGAAAGCAGTATTATGCGGTGCCTTCCAAGACACAGACACAATGGAGATTGCTGTGGCACCAATGCGTATAGAGATGTATTAATGTGATGATAAGTAGAGGGGCTGAGATCTTGTCAGTACTATCTTATTGCATGGGAAGTTTACAGATTAAATTCTTTTTTCTGTGTCGTATTTTATTCATCTTTAATATCCCTTATAATAGCTTTTCAGCTGTAGAAGAAACCTCCTTTCTTTTCTTTTCTTTTCCAACTACCTCTTTCATAGGGTCAGGAGCTCCCTCTGAGTCCACTACTCTTAGATGATTTGTCCCCAATAATTTATATATCATCACTTAGGTTATTTTTAGTTGATTATTTTTTGGGGTATAAAAGAGTGAAGTGCTTATAAAAGCTTCCTGGCAAGGAGAGCCAGAGTGAGAAGGTACAGCTGTGAGTAATGAGTCTACCACTTATCTCTGGGGGCTTGCAGGACAGGTTTTTAGCCTGTTTCTCAACATTTCTTTGGACTTGTTTGTAACCTTGGTAGTCACAGTGTGGGAGGGTAAAAGGGAAGAGCAGGGCTATGTAAGTAGCAATCTAATATATACCGTCTCTTTCTAGATGAGATTTTATGATCTAATGTATTCTTTAAAAGGAAATACAATTGTAGAAATTTTCATAGGAATTCAGAGAATCACTGCAGAATTATCCTTTTAATCATATAGGTGCACAACAAATACAAATCCACATACATATTTCTTTTTCTCTACCTCATCCCCACACCCCTCCTGACAAAACTCAAACTGTGTTTTAAGTGTTCTGTGCTTGGTGGTGGCTGCTGCCATTTTCGGCAATTATTTTATTTTTTTTCAAAATCTGTTGCTTTGAAAGGCCCCGTAGTGTTATGTAGGGTGTAGGTCTACACAGTTATTACCTACTGTCAGCAAAACTGAATAGCTGGGAGGGAATAATTATACAATCCCTTTTGCCATAAGCCACTTCTGAACATATTGCAATATGTACTGGATTCATTTTAAAGTGGTTGTAACTAAATGAATCACAACCTTTGGGGATAGGGTAACAGATAGTATATTAAGACTGTGTAAAGTCTGTAAGAAGTCAGTATATTAAAATCTGTCAGGAAAGGTCATCCTTGACTATGGGTTAATATCTGTAGTCAGTACCTTGAATAGTGCCAATATGTGTTGGCTCTAATCTTTGATATGACTCTAGGCAGGATATGAGATCTGAAACTTTCACTGATGGAGTATGAACCAGATTGACAAACTTCTTAGTGAAGAGAAGTTTCTGCTGTGTGTGTGTGTGTGTGTGTGTGTGTGTGTGTGTGTGTGTGTGTGTTTTCATGATTCTGGGTATTTTAATGTTAAAGTATATATAGGATTTTATAGTTTTTGGACTTTGGGATCTAGGGAGAAAAAGGATGTATATCCTTTCCTACTCACCCTACCCCCAACCAATTACCTTTGGCGAGGTATCAGCTGTGTTTTGCTAATGAGCATTGCCGGAAGACGTTCTGGAAGCTCACAGAACACAGGGACTTGTAAGAGTCACAGTGGAATCAGACAACCTGTCAGTCTGTTTATACATGTATGCTGGCATTTTCTTTGCAAGACGTGCAAACCAATTAGAGGGAGGCTCCCTTAGAACACTTTTGAGGGGGTGGACACTTCTATTAATGTTTGGCGTGGGCATCTGTTGTATTGGAGAGAATGAGATGAACAATTTTATAATCAATTTTTGGAAGAGAATTTGAAATGAAGGTTACGAAAAAGATTTTGTTGTAATATGAGTTAGCAGAGAAAAGTTAGTTTTGTATCTCTGTACAGTTGAAAGTTCAAAAGAATAAGGACAAGCATGTTTCCTTGGCCATGCTTTTCATCGAATACCTATTGTTTTTATAATTAGTTCATTATAAAGGAGAGTTGTGAATAGTGACCTTTGTCCAGTCTGGCTCATGAAAAGCAAGCATACTGATTTCCTCTGGGCAGTGTGATCAGTTACCAGTAATGGAGCTGAAATGAGTGATCCTGATATGTCTTTGCACATTTTATTGTGCAAAGAAATCAGGGCCTTATGCAGTTTGGGAGAAGGCTGGGACTTTAATGTTAGTACCATAATGTCTTGCCTTCCTCCCCCACCTCCTTGCAAATCAGTACTTACTGTCAGATAAACTCAACTGGTGCCTTTAGAAGAAATCAGGTGAATATGGGGCAGAAACAGTGGAGTTGCATTTTGAAGGTTTTCTATTATATGAATAGCAGCCAGTTAGAGAATATCTAACCATCAGCAGTTTTATTTTAATTCTTTGCTATATGGAACCTCAGGGAGGAAATGTTCTTGTCTGTAGTAAAGTGTTTCTTTTCTCTCTAAATTGCACAATGATTGAAAATTGTGGCTATCATTATTTGTACTATATGCAATTATAAAGCGATGGTGATAATATTTAGAATTTGATAATGAAGCTCTGTAAACATTTATTGTAAAAGTTGGTGCTTAGCTTCAGCATTCCAGAATTACTGTTACCACATCCTATTGAAAAACTGATAAGGATCTGTAACACTGAACAATATGTGGGTATTGTCATCTCATTCTTTGTAGGTTTCCTTCTGGCTGGAAATCTTGGAGTTGGTCATTATAATCCTTTGCTTTAAAGTCGAGGCAAATAAGATACATGTTAATTTCAATTTAGAGACAAAATTGTGTCCTGCCTGTTTCTTACTTGGACTAAAGCTTACATTATACAAAATCATGTATTTGCTTTGTTATAGTAACAATGTAAAAATAGAAGTTCTGTAAAGAGTTAATCAGTTATTTGCTTCTGATTGTTTAAGTGAGACAACCTGTGGGTCTTTTAGGTCTTGGTCTTTCGTTACTGCAAGACGAAAGAGTAATACACGTATTGCTTTAATGCCCTCATTTATACATAGAAGTATCTTAATAAAATTGTGAATGACAGGGCACCAAATCATTGTGGTTATAATGGAAATAGTCAAATAATTGTTATCAGTAGACCCTAGTCTGAGTCTTTGTGGTTCTGCTGTTTATTAGGAACATGATCAAGAGAGTTGACAGTTTTTCTGATATTCAATAAGATTTTTGTGCTAAACAATATTTAATATTCTAGCTCTAATAGTCTATGTGTTTATAGTAATCATAATCATTTGTTAATATGCTCAGCAAGCAGTATTTATAGTCACCTGGGGACCAGGACTTTATTAGATGTTGAGGAGATTATAAGTGAATAGCCATAAACCATAGCTTACAAGAGCTTGCAGTCCAGAGGAGAAGACAGCCAGGTAAACAACTAACAGACAGATATACAAGTACAGAATGGCTAGTGCTGGGCAAGATCCATCTGCCTATGTACTGCTGAGATACTTGTTTAAGGAGTGGTATAGTCTGAATGTTTGTGTCTCCATGGATGGGATTTGTGCCCTCGGGAAAGAGGCCCCAAAGAGCTGTTTCCCTTTCTACCATGTGAGGACACAGTCACAACCATAGGCGTCATCTTTGAGAAGGCCAGCACTGACTAGACGCTGAATCTTCCAGCACCTTGATCTTGGACTTCCCAGTCTTCAGAACTGTGAGAAAAAAAAATATATTGTTTATAAGCCACCCAGTTTATGGTATTTTGTTATAGCAGCCTGAGTTGACTAAGACAGGGAGGTATGTCAGCCTGTGGACCTTAGGGGTCTTCTGGGAAGACAGGTGGAAATGATTTAGAATCAGATTCTCTGGCTAGAAGAGTCTTCTTCCTGGAAGTTTTCAAAATTGACAGGGAACTTATACTAAGATAAAATATATACTTGACCTTTATCTTATTTTTTTTAAATCAGCAGTTATTCTTTAATATTATCAAATATTCAGTAGTTGTTAAAATTTCCAATCATTTCATAAGAGTCATAAATGTACTTTATAATGTGTTTGTTTGATTAAAGTCCATATATGGTGAATGGGTGATATGTCTTTCAAAACTGCAAGTCCCTTGCCCAACCCCATCATCTCTTTTCTTTTCTTTGTACATTTTTATTTAACCAAGTTGGAAAACACTCTGCAGGATATTATCCAGGTGAACTTCCCCAACATAGCAAGGCAGGCCAACATTGAAATTCAGGAAATACAGAGAACGCCACAAAGATACTCCTCGAGAAGAGCAACTCCAAGACACATAATTGTCAGATTCACCAAAGTTGAAATGAAGGAAAAAATGTTAAGGGCAGCCAGAGAGAAAGGTCAGGTTACCCACAAAGGGAAGCCCATCAGACTAAGAGCTGATCCCTCCACAGAAACTCTACAAGCCAGAATAGAGTGGGGGCCAATATTTCACATTCTTAAAGAAATGAATTTTCAACCCAGAATTTCATATCCAGCCAAACTAAGCTTCAAAAGAGAAGGAGAAATACAATCCTTTACAGACAAGCAAATGCTGAGAGATTTTGTCACCACCAGGCCTGCCCTAAAAGAGCTCCTGAAGGAAGCACTAAACATGGAAAGGAGCAACCAGTACCAGCCACCGCAAAAACATGCCAAATTGTAAAGACCATCGATGCGAGGAAGAAACTGCATCAACTAATGAGCAAAATAACCAGCTAACATCATAATGACAGGATCAAATTCACACATAAAAATATTAACTTGAAATGTAAATGGGCTAAATTCTCCAATTATTAATTTTTAAGAAAGTTTTAAAATTCACATATAATATTGTACATATTTATGGGATACATAGTGATGTTTCAATACATGTAATGTATTGTGATCAAATTAGGGGAATTAGTATATTCACCATATCAGACATTTATCATTTCTTGGTGTTGGGAGCATTCAATATCCTCCTTTAGTTATTTGAAATTATATAATATATTATTATTAACTGTAGTCATGCTACAGTGCTATACCAATTTTAAAGTCTAATGGGAATCAATCAGGACAATAAAGGAGTCATCCAAGTATTCCCTGGAGAGCCATTTTTGTGTGTGTGGAAGATGCTTAAGTGGGGGTGGCCAAGATAATTTTTGAACTGAAATTGGAAACCAGATTTGTTCAGACTATGGTTGCACAGAGTACCATCTTGCACTAAATCAAAACCTTTAATTTTGTTGGACTATGATGAAATAATCCTAAAGTGCTATGGAATTACTTCTACCACTGTAGTAGTTTCTTCTAAAAAATTAGACCTGACCTTTGTTTTTAAAAATGTGTTAATTTTCAGAGTTGACAGATGTTTTGGTGTGATTCTGGATGGTGCCTCTCAAAATATCCTCCAACTGAACTCTGAAGAAATGTGTCCAGTTTTCTCAAGAGAGACAACTGGAAAAAACAAAACCAGCAATGGCAGCATTTGGAGAATGTAATAGGCGAGCTGCCACACAGGTGGAAACAGATAGTTCTTTTTCTGTGAGGGCTGCATTGATGAATACAGAAGTGGCATGATTGGATTAGTGGCCATAGAAACAATAACACAGAAATGAAAGCAAGGTCAGTCTCTAGGTGAGAAGTGGCAATAGCTTCTAGGGGAGTCCTCAGGTATTATACTAGCAGAAGCAAGATGAAAAATTTAAATTTAAGTATCTTAAATGTTCGTTGGTGGGGGAGGGGCATAGCCCACATAAGAGGACCAAAGATCCCTTGCTCCTCTTATCTCACAGATTCACCTTTCCATTTGTAAAATTTGTCACTGTCCTCTAAATTTCAACTGATCTAACATGCCATTAAATGTAAGACACACCATTATTTTAGGTATCACTAAGAAAGAAAAGTGTAACAACTAAGACTTCTTTATCACTGTATATGCACTGAAAGAGCTCTTTAAAGTCCAACTTAAAGAATCTATAATGGTTATACTATTTCAGCTGGCAAATATCAGAGCCAACCAATGGTGCAAAGAAATATACTGGATTCTGCTTGGCATAAAACACCTGAGTTTACAGTCCAAGAGCTCTTTGGTTTGCAAAGAGAAGGATGGAGAAAAGGAACAGCACTTTCCGCACAGGGAGAAGGATTGGGAAAATAGTGATAACATCCTTTGCAGCTGCCAGAAAATACCCCTAATTTTTAAAGATAATTTCAATTGTAAGATGTGCTTTGATTTCAGAGATGTCAAAATGTGAAAAAAGTACATTTTAGAATAGAATAAATAAGGTATGTAAGAGCTTTTCAGTGTTGCCAGGTGTTGAATGTTGAAAGGCAACTAGGCCACTTAGAAGAATACTGATCTGTTGACAAGTTATTTTTTAGTTATTTTAGCAACTCACCAATCCACTAGCAACCAGCCTGTAGTCATAAGTAAAAGTGAAAATAGACGCACTGTGCTTTACTCTCTTCTCTATGTGAGAGAAAGAGAGGGTACACAGAGGAAGAAAAACAGTGAAACTGACTCTGTCTTGTCTTTTGAGGACAAACTTCCTGTGTTGATATTCAACCCATTTGGAGCCTAATAGTGAGCTAGGATCCAACCTGGAGAATCATTTGATGGTTGAAAAGGCAACATGATGAACAAGAGCCACCAGGGGGCTAGAAAGAAAAGAAATATAGAATCTAAGTTGAGGTAGGTAATAGGATCTAAACTAAACATTATTATTTTTACTTTTGTAGGAGTTCATGCATTACATTGACTTCTCTCGGGTTTTCTTGGGCTACAGAATCATGGATGATATGATAAAATAAGATGTTAATTTATATTCCTTTCATTCTATGCCCCTCAATCCCCTCAACAGTTGGGTAAAGCTCTCATGTGCATAAAAGTCAGTTGGAGGGCTATTTAGAAAATGTTCAGTCCAGGCTCTGATTTTTGAGATTTTGGAGTTTGGTGAAGCATTCTGAAATCTAAATCCTGAAAATAAAGGTCCTGAAATTTGTGTTTTTTTCAAAAGCATCTCCAGTTATTTATAATAAAGATATATATGTGTAACGCTTTGAGAAGCATGCTCTCATAGTTAATGGTAAATTAATTTAGATGATCCTCTCTTCATTCTCGGCACTCCTCAGTTCAAGTTTCCTTTTTCTTCAAGAATCCATAGAACTAGAAAATTTTTCCCCCACAGAAATTATCTTTTGTTGCAAATCAAAAACACTATCTTTGGCCCAGTTTGAGCTAGATGGAAATTTCAAAAAATATATATCTTTACATAGAAATATACTTATTTCCAGAGGTTTCCATAGATTTCACATTATGGAGGCAAGCTAAGTGCTTCAAAGTACCCTTCATCACCCATTGAATCCAATCATGGCTGGGCTGCTCAGTGGCAAATAGCATTCCTCCTGCAATTCTGCTTAGTTTTGAAGGCTACCAAGACACAATTCACAATGTTGTTTTTCTTCTGGAAAACAAACAACAGAAAACACAGAAGATCTATTCATATTTTAAATGGTTGACTTGGTAATACGTTCAGAGGGAAGAAGATAACATATGATAATATCGTTAATAGATGACACAAACATTTGTGATAATGGCCCAGCACGTTGTACAGAGTAATGTGGATGGTTGGATGGTGTGAGTGGAAGTGTGTCAGCTGGCTTTTAGCCCACTGGCAAAATGTTTGGACAATTTGTGTTGGATAACTTGGTGGTGGATTTAAGAGAATTTGTTTTCCTTCACAAATGAAATGATGTATGCAGGATTTGATATGTAATTCTTTGAGTAAGAGATAATTGCTGTACACACTAACCAACTATTTGCATTTAGTTAGCAACAGTTTCTACTGAACTTTATCTCATGTTTCCTTAAGTAAATGTTTGGAAGTATGTTTGTCTTATTTAGTAACTTTAAAAAAATTTTACCACATCTCAATGCTTCTCAAAGGTTATCTAAATATCTACTCAAGGAAAACATTCTTTAGTTACTCAGCATCACAGGCTTCAGTTTTCTCATATGTATGACGGCTTGTAATGCATAATATTCTTACCAGCCCTGACATGCAGTAGTAGTTATTTATATGGTATTGTATTGTGTATTTTAGAACTACATTCAATTACAATTCAGTCTGTATTCATTTTAGGAAGGATGCATGGGAATGTGTTCTGAAGCAGGGCCTCTCAAAGCCAAGTCCTTAAACCACATACCTTAGACTAATCTTGGATGCTGGCAGAAAATGCAGATTCCTTGGTTCTGTGGACTGAATTGTCTCCCTTCTTCAAATTCATACATTGAATTCCTAAGCTCCAATGTGTCTGTTTTTGAAGGTAGGGATTTTAGGAGATAAGTTTAAATGAGCTCATAAAGGTTCATTCTAATCCAATGCAATTGGTGGCCTTTATAAGAAGACAAAAAGCGTTCTCTTTCTCTGTCTCTTTCTCCACACCTGTGCACACTGAGAAAAGGCCATGTGAGGATGCAGCAAGAAAGTGGTTGCCTGCAAGCCTAGAAGACAGCCCTCACATTCAAAATCCAACCATGCTGCCATTCCGATCTTGCAATTCCAGCCTCCAGAACGGTGAGAAAATAAATAAATTTCTGTTGTGTAGGCCACTCGAGCTATGGTATTTTGTTATGACAGCCCAAACTAAGACAGATTTTGGCACCAAAAAGCAGGGTTGCTGCTGTAACAAATACCTAAAAATATGAAAGCAGCTTTGGATCTGGGTAATGGTAGGCTAGAAGAGTTTTGAGGTACACTCTGGAAATACGGATGTTAAAGGTGATTCTGGTGAAACATCAAGGAAAAAAAGGAAATATGGAGAGAAGCTTCCATGTTCTTAGAGAATACACAAATAATCATGAACAAATGATAGAAATATGGACCTTACAGGCCATTCTAGTGAGATCTCAGATAGAAAAAAACTTATTGGAACCTGGAAGAAAGGCAATCCTTGTGATAAAGGTGGCAAAGAACTTGGCTGAGCTTTGTTCTAGTGGTTTTTTTGAAAGGTGGAACTTGCCAGTGATGAAATTGAATATTTATCAGAGGAGATTTCTAAGCAAAGTATTGAAAGTGTGGCTTGGGCCCTCCTTACTGCTTATAGTAAAATGCAAAATAAGAGAGGTGTATTGAAGAAGGAATTGTTAAGCAAAAGAAAATTAAACCTTAAAGATTTGGAAAATTCTATCCTATCCATAATGTAAAAATTGAGAAAGCCTGTTCAGAAGAAAACATCAAGGATGTGGCTGGACTACCGCTAAAGAAATTATGGGATTATATGAACAGAGACACTGCCAGTTTCAAGTGATGGGAATGGAGACATAATGAAATCAAGGAAGACCATAATACTTCTTACATTCTACAGGACAGGATGATAATGCTCCTCGCCTGGGAATGTATCAATTCTTCAACAAAAGGGAAGAAGAATCCAAAGGCAATTCAAAGGTAACCAGAGCCACTGACTTGTCTTTAATAACCCAGATGGCCTCCTACCAGAGTCATCGGGGCAGGGTCGCCTGGAGCCATGGGAGTTTGATCTCAACCTGGCAGAGCCTTAGGAGCAGGACATGCTATCCTGGTGGGTCTGGAAGCCTCACCCAGCACCCTAGTGAGTCCAGAAGGCAGAACATTAAGCCAAAGAACAAGATTACTATCAAGGCTTTAGATTTTTATGGAGTTTTCCTTGAGAGATTTAGGATTTGCTTGGATCTTGTCACCACTTTCTTCCTTCCGGTTTATTCCTTTTAGAATAGGAATGTCTATCCTATGACTGTCCCACTATTGTCTTTTGGAAGCACATAACTTATCAGGTTTCACAGATTTACAGCTGGAGCAGAATTTTGCATGAGGATGAATCATACTTCCAACCCCACCCATATCTGACTTAGGAGATATTTAGATGAGACTTTGGATTTTAGACTTTAGAATTGATGCTGAAGTGAGTTAAGACTTTGGGGTCTCTTGGGGTGGAATGAATGTATTTTGCATATCAGAATACAAATTATGGGGGTGAGGGCAGAATGTTATGAACTGAATTGTTCCCCCTCAGTTCACATGTTGAAGCTCTAACTTTCAATGTGACTGTATTTTGAGAAAGTTTTTAGGAGGTAGTTAAGGTTAAATTGTTGGAATCCTAATTTGATAGGATTAGTGTCCTTATAAGAAGAGAAGGAGAGAGAAAGTTATCTCTCTCTCCACACACATGCCTCTAGAGAAGGCCATGTGAAGATGAGGACAGCAAGAAGGTGGCCACCTGCAAGCCAGAAAGAGAGCCCTTACCAGGAAATGAACAGGCCAGCACCCTGATCTTGGGCTTCCTGGCCTCCACAATTGTGAGAAAATAAATTTCTGTTGTTTAAGCCACCCAGTGTGTGGTAATTTGTTACAGCAGCTGGAGCTGACTAAGACACTTTGTTCCAATCCAGTCTTACTAAAAATGAAATAGCAGAAATGAGATGACTCAGGAATCCATATTATAAAGACTCCCCTACCCTTGGCACATGTACGTAGCCACATAGGATAGGATAGATCATGCTATAGCAGCAGGATGGCAGGGGTTGGGGGGTGAGGTTTGGTGGGATTATTTGATATCAACATTTAAGTGCCTGAGTGGCCAAGGCCCCAGGCAGGGTTAGGAACTTGATGCTGCTGGCAGACAATGGTCTTTGCTCAGCTAGCCAGTGAAAAGTTTTGATCATGTATGGATAATTCTGATGACCTCTGCAAGAGACCAGCCACACGCTGAGCCAGTCTTGCCTACCAGGTGTACAGGCCACAGAATCTGGCAAATCCCGGGACTTCTGCTTTTACTTCTCTCAAGAAGGGTTGTATATAATATGAAGGGAATCTGGGGTAAAATCTGTCAAAGTTTGGGGATTTGCTACCACAGGTGTCCTGCAAAGAAGCTTTCTTGTCTTCTCTCCCCAGGTCCTTGGAATCTCTATACTATCTCCAACACAATCCTCTCAGACTATATTTAGTGTTACATATTTTGTTTTCTTTTTATTCCACATCTTCCTCTCCCACTAATGTCTGGGCTTGCTTGCATATACTCACACTCTTAATGCACTTCACAGTGAGCTTGTCCTGGTCCCAGACTTTCACCAAGGAATTGATAAACTAGTCACTGCAAATATATTAATGGGCTTTCAGATGATGGCTTGTCAGCTAACTAACTTACTTTTTAATGGAGAGCCTTCATAAGGCAAAGCTCAGAACACCAATAATTTATTCTACTGACATATATTTCAGGCTGTTTCTCTCTAATTTTATCATGTAGGCAGCTTCTCCTGTGCCAACATGAGCCAAATGTTTAGAAAAATGAGCCTATAGAAACACTTTTCTTATGATTTGTCTACTATTCATTCTTTAATTTGGCTTTTGCTTATGACTCTCTCAGTTCTAACTTTACACAGTTCCAACTCAGGTCATCAAGAACTTCCTCTTTTCTAAATTTAATCAACACTTCCCAGTCTTTTGACCCGGAGAGGCATTGTACACTGCTAATTATTACCCTGGTGTTGTTTAAAACAACACAACTAACAACACTAAAACTGACAGCAATTGTGTGTCCACTGCATCCAAAAAAGAAAAATTCCAGATTATAATTAACAGGTATAAGTATATGCCCTTGATTCCTAGACCCTTATTCCTCTAGGTCTAAATCAAAAGAGGAACTACTGCTGGAGGAATGAAGTTAAGGGAGAAAGAGGGATCTTACTTCCCCCCTGTTGCCTTTGCAGATTTTTAGGCCTAAAGTAAGCTCCAACTAGGAGAGAACAGTTGCCTTACAGCAGGGTTTTTCAAGCTCTACATTACTGAGATTTTGGAACAGATGATTCATTTTTATAGGTGGCTGTCCTGTACATTACAGGATGCTTAGCATCATCTCTGGTGTCTCACCATGCTTGTGGCATCTCCTGTCCCTAGTTGTGACAATTAAAAATGTCTCCAGATATTCCCTGATGGCTTTGAGGGCAAAATCTCTCTCTCTTTTTTTTTTTTTACCACTGCCCTTCCGAAATTGAGAACCACTGTTTTAAGGGAAATGAAGTTGGGAGCTTTAATTATTATGCAGGAGAGGATATTTGAATTACTGTACAGAACTGTTCTTGTGACTAAAGAACATAGGAGAAGTCATGAGACTGGCCGAAATTTCATACAGTGCTAGGGAAGCAAAACTTTAAAAAACCCGTGAAAAAGAGTAAAGTTGTTATGATTGTACACTCTTTTTGCCATTTTTTGTGTAAAATTATTATATGCATTTCTTTATCTTTAGGGTATTTGAATATACATTTCAGTTTGCCCCAGGCAGTTTTGTTCCAGGTTAACTGTTCATAGAGCCTCCTTTCACTCTCAAAGTGTCTGATTTTCAATAATAAATTATATGATTGCCCTATACTTTCTGTTTTCTCAACTATACTATAAGCTTCATGAGGGAAATAACTTTTTATTTGTGCACTGACATATCCACATGGTACTCTGATGTAGTGATCAATCAATAAGTATTTGTCAAACCTACCATAAAAACAAAATTCACTCACTTACATATCAGCAGGATTGGTCTGGCCCCTATGAAAACAATGCAACCAGGTTTATAGGGAATTTCCTTCTGTGAGTTTGGAGATCTTTTCTAGGAGGTACTGGGCTTCTTCCCCAGATTCAAGGAGTAGGCTGGTTATACACATAGCTGAGTGTGTTTCACTGTCATTGCTCTACAAGACTTATTATACTTAGGAAGGATAACTATTACTCATATTTTACACTTTATTGGTAGGCCTGTTCTTATGATTTTTTCCAAAGGGGAATAAACAAGCATAGAATTTAGTTAGTGAGGGATAGTTCTTATACAAGAATGCAGTGCCAAAGAAGAATGCCTTAAAGAACTGTTCTAGATTAGCATCTTTGTTTTCTCATCCTTCTTTATTTTGTCCTTCACCACTCTTGAGTATGCGCTGGCACACACATATAAACCCATGCCCACTAAAAAAAAAAAACTTTTACATACTTTGCCTTATCTCGTGATTTTCAAGTTCCCACTTTGGGTTACTTGCTGAAGAAACTGAGAGCTACTCTTCATTTAGGAGCAAATCAGGCGTGATATGTAATGTTACTGGTAGAATCCACAATTTGGCCTTTGATAAGAACAAGATGGCATAATTAGCAAGTCTTATGACTTGTCGCCTATCTGAAGAAAAGCATAAAATTGTAGGATTATAGCAAATATCCATCTGCATTAATATTTTGGAAAATGCCTTAACACCTCTAGAATTGCTAATATGTTCCCTTCTAAAATAATGGTAAACTTCTAGAAATAATTATTATTCAAGCAGATTGAGAATTAAATAATGTTATTTTCTCGCCCTTGCTGGGAGCTTTCACATGAATTAAATTTCTCATGCCATTGAGAATCAGGCATTATCAACCCCATTATATATATTTGAGTTAACTGTGATTCTGAGAGCTTATTATTTAAATGCAGGTTTTCCTGACTCTGAACCATTGTATCTTTCAGTATTTCATTAGAAATGCTTCGGCCAAAATTGGAAGGCACAAAGAACAAATATTCTAACAAATTTATTTGATTTAATCAGGGGAAACCCTTGTGAACTTGAACAAATTATTAAACAATACTTTTTTCATCTGCAGGGTGAAGATAATGAGTAACCACCTCCTAGGACTGTTATAGGACTATACTCAGATAATGTGTACATAGAACTTGACAAACTCTCAGCACATATTAGGGTTATGAAACTTTTCATCAAGCGCAGAGAAAGAATGCATTCTGATACATTTATCAATGATTTTTAACATGTTTAGGAAATAATTTTGGAACATTAATAATTCTTTACATGTTCTTTTGTTTTATGCAGTCAGCAGGTATTTAATGAGAGTATGTTACTTTGGCAACATTGTGCTAGACACCATAGAGAACATAGAGAAACATGCTGTCCTCTGTTGAGTCACTTACTTTCTGATTAAGAAGGCAGAACATACACATTAAGTTAGAGAACACCAAGTTGTGAGATTATACCTATATGTGCAACAGAAGTTTGGTAAAAGGAGAAATTTCTGTGGGCCCTAAACTTAAGAGATGGGATGAACTTTGTTAGTTGGCTCCTTAAGAGCTGTGGAATATGGAGAGGGAGGGAGCAGGGGAGGGAGGACATGTGGAGGGGATGGTGATCATGAGTAAAGTTATGGAGATGTGAGGAGGAACCAAGTTCTTTTGGGAAAGGAGAAGAGTGAAGCAACTGGACAGAGCCAAAAAAGAAAGCTGTTTGACTGGCAACTCTGTTAAATGCTTCATAATTTTCCTTACAAAAATCTTGAAAAGTAAATTTGTAAACTAGGCCTGTTTCACTAGGAATTGATCACGTTTTCTTCATTCCTTTCAGCAGCAATAGAGTTGTGAAGGAAGAAAGGACATGATAGGGAGCCTAAGAAATGAACAGTCTCCTAGTGTGGGTTTTCTCCACATAAGATAGTATATACAAACATGCAAAGGCTAATCTGTGAAATGTTTTACATTTACATGTGAAATAACCTAAGTTGATTAAAAATGTTACTTGTACTACATAAATGCATCTTCAAGTAGCTTCTGTCCTACTCTTTGAATTTTGCTTTCACTAAAGAGGTAGGGAATCTTCACTGGACCGATTAGGCTCCTTTATTTCCCTACCTCTGATATTTACCTGCTACTGATGGCCTTCTAATATGTATTGCAGTGGAAAGATAATATTTCTTTAGATAAACTTTTGAGAAATTTTAATAACTTTGAAGCCTATTTACTAGCATTTATCATATCTATGTTTTCAAGTGTCCTTTCATGCCATTTTTAACAGCTTTATTGCGATATAATTCAAATATCATACAGTTTATTCATTTGAAGTGTGCAATTCAATCACTTTTGGTATTTTCATAGTTGTATAAACATCACCACAATCAATTTTAGAATATTTTCATCATCCCAAGAAGAAACCTTGTATGTTCTTTAGCCTTCACTCTCCGCTTCCTCCATCCCCCCAGCTCTAGGCAACCACAAAACTTCTTTCTATTTTTATAGATTTGCCTATTCTGGGTGTGTTGTATAAATGGAATCTTATGAATGTGACTGACGTCTTTCACTTAGCAAAATGTTTCCAGGTTCATCCATATTGTAGCATGGGTTTCAATACTTCATTCCTTTAATATTCCATTGTATGGAAACACCACATTTTACTTGTCAGTATATCAGTTGATAGACATTTGGGTTGTTTTCACTTTTTGGTTACTATGAACAATGATGCTATAAACATTTATGTGCAAGTTTTAATGTGAATATATACCTAGGTATCTATGCATCATACCGTATTGCTGTGTTTTACCCTTTCGTGCCATTTTGATCTTAGAGCTGGCTTCATGATATACCTATATCCCTGCATCCCAGACACAAGCATCTGTCTTCAAATGGTCTTGTTTCATTTGTCTCAATTTTAGGCCATCTGCTTTTCTTATGTTCATATTCTCTGTCATGTTTTTATATAAATCCAGGGTTTATAATGCCAACCAAATGCATATCTTTAACTCAGACTATTTCTATGGACTTTAAATCTCTGTATCTAAATGCTCTTTACCAGATAGGTCTTTTTTAATATCCTACAGGGACTTCTAAATCAATTTTTTATTTGCCTCCATTCTAATGTGCTCCTCCTCCTATATATTATACTATGCGAATGACACATCCTAATAAGAAATCCAATAGCCATATGAGGCTCATTCCTTTCCTTATCCAATTCATCACCAAACCCTATTGATTCAGTTTCCTAAACATATCATGAATCTGTTACTTCTTCTCCACTCTCACTGACATTGCCTTAGTTTAAGCTCTCGTCTTCTCTGTGCACTGGCCTCTTGTCACTCTGTAGATCATTCCCTTCCTCTTCCATCTATTCTTCCTGAGCCTGCCAGAAGGATTGCTCTGAAACACAGATCTATGCATATCACTCCCCTGTCTAAAATATCTCAATGATTCCGAGTAATCTGCAGAATAAAATGCAAACTTCTGGGCTTGGTTCACCAAACCTTTCACAATCTGACCCTAATGATCTCTCAAGCTTCTTTTTGTTTTCATCCTGTGTACAGACATATCAAAATCTCTAAAAGTTCTCAGATGAGCTGTAGGTATTTTCACCTTCATGTCTTAACATTAGTTACCTCTCCCCATACTGTCCTGCCCTCAGGCCACTTTGTGGTTTGGTTAAATTCTACTACAATTATTTTTGTAGCAAATCAACATTTTATTAAAACTGCAGTTATCTTTTAGTTATTCAAGATAACTTGATTCTTTCAAAAGAACTTTCAGTAATCTCAGTTTGATACATTGGACTCTTTAAGCATCTTCTACTTTATTTCACTATAAATAGTATTGGGCTATATTTTAAGTGTCCCTTTACTGGCTCAACTTTCTCAACTGATTGTTAGTTCTTTGAGTTATGGAACTATTTCTGTTTTACCTTTGCCATCTGTGCACTCTGTACATTGGTAAGCACTAAATAATATGTTGAATGAATGCATGAGTTCTATATGCTGTAAATATTCCAAGAACTCTCGGATCTTATGTTTCAGGTTCTCTGTGTTTCATCTGACCCTACTTCTTCCATATCTAGAGCCAGAGACAGTATTAAATACTTGATATGCAATAACTGGTGGCACTCTTATTCTAATGCCCTTTTCTTACACCTATTTTCATGCCAACTGCTAGCTTGCTTTTCTTTTTGGTTCTCACAGTTATTCTTGCTGTTTTGCCTTAGTTTTGGCAAGGATAAATGCTTAGACTGATCTCCAGAGGCCACAGGACTTGATCTCACTCTATGGCTAGTGAGAGATCTGTGTGTGCCTAGTCTTCATGCTGGGACCTTATTATTCTGTGCAGCTCTGCAGGTGACTGTTTGCGAAAGGATATAATGGGAAATGAAACATTTGCCTCTGTAATAGTTATTGCTTAACCACTAAAGAAAAGTCCAAATACATTTCCAAGCTTTCTGTAAGTTTCTTCTGACTCTCCCTTTAAACAATTGAATTTATTAGACTTTTAAAAAGGAAGGAGATTGGGGGCGAAATGGGAATTCAACCCCTGCATATCATTTTTTCCTCACACACGTAGTTCTAGAATCACTTCTTTAAACATCTACTTCTGTTGTAAGGAAAATAGCCTTTATTTTGGAACCCCATGGGGCTTCTGATTTCTCTCATTCAAATGAATGTATTTGCAGTTTGGAGGAATAATTAATAGGGCTCTCCTGTTGAATGTTGAATGAGAGAGTGAATGCCTTTTAGCCAAAAGAGGTTCTTGTTTGTACACATAAAATGTGATATTCTGCATAAAAATTATAGTTAACATCTAATACCAAAAATGTATTACAAGTCTCTTAATCAGTTAATACAACTTTTCAATGCACTTTTTTTTTACATTTGAGTTTTGATTGGTAACATGAAAGGTCTTTGATTTGGATATTGATTAACATAAAGGAGTATAGAAAAATAAGAAAATGTTTAGCTTTTTTAATATTTCATACAGCGTTTCATATGAATAGAAAACCATTACATTGGTGATTATATAATTTAGTGTTTATCATCAAAAACATATTTCCCATGTTTTTAATCTCTAAGGAGTTTCTTCTTTAAAGACATTTGTAAAGATTTCAGACACTAAATGGAAATCTATTTCATAAAGCAAAGAGAAACAACTGTGGTATTGTAAGGATCAGAAGTAGTTAGCACACTGAAGTTACTGTTTTTTTGTTTCAAAATACAGTATTTTGAAGAAATATGAATAGATTTTCAAGCCTACAGGTCACCTCAGACATTGCCAATAAGGTCAAGACTGGAGGAAATTAAAGCAAAAGATATAAAGTAGTAAATTTTACAATGAGACATTGTTTATTCCAGGATATAAATAAGATTCATATATGGGTATGAAAGACATCTTCATAAAATGTAATATACTGAATGACTATTTTGTAATTTGTTTCAGAGGTTTCTGTTTTGAACTTCTGAAGTCATTTTCAATTCTGATAATTTCTATAGACTGAGAACTGTTTCCTTCAATATTTATAAAATGTTTCTTGAGATTACCCCCTCGATACTCTTAATCTTGGAAAAAAATTTTTGAAATCTGTAAGAAAAATCAAGCATTCCTCTAAGTTGGTTTGTATACCACTCCATCCTCCGCTTGAAAAAGAGAGAACCAATAAAAGGTATGATTTGAAAGCGCAGATTTATTTCATAAATTTCTGAACCACCCTTTATGGATACCCACAGTATATAAACAACCATAATCAGTATACCAAACAACAGCAACAAGCACACTGAGAAAC
Source organism: Homo sapiens (assembly GCF_000001405.40). Taxonomy (NCBI): domain Eukaryota; kingdom Metazoa; phylum Chordata; class Mammalia; order Primates; family Hominidae; genus Homo; species Homo sapiens. Next base: position 168,434,945 of record NC_000003.12, read on the forward strand.
AAAGGCATTTGGGGAAGAGCAAGGAGCAAGTGGGCAGCTTCTTGAGTTGCTTTTTGTTGATGATTTCCTACTGGAAGTCTGTAAATACAACTGGGTATAGAAACAGTCAACACAAATTTGCACTTTTATGGAGTATTGTGTGATACAAAATATACTGGGAAAAATATTTTATGAAGAAGCAGTCTTTTGATGAAATGTATCCCATAAATTTTATGCTTGACTATATAAAAAGAGATAAGCTGAAAAGCCAAGTCATTTTCTAAGTTAAGAGCAAAGACTTGCTGAAATGACATGTTTTTTCTTTTCACTGGAGCTTAAGCTCTGAGGCGAGGCTTTTGGAGGGTTGAGCTATAGCTTTTCAAGTATATTGACAATAGCAAGCAACAGACAGTCTTGTTTAGCTTCTGAGTAGGTTTTTTTTTCCCCCTCCTTTCAGGTATTATTGTTAAATACTGTTTTTAACCTGTTGTAATGTAATGAAAATGGCTGTCAGCAATTCAGTTCTTACCACCAATCATGTAAGCTTGATGTAGGAATATTCACTAAGATTACACACCACCACCAGCAGCAGTAACAGCAGCAGCAGCAGGGACCCTGACTCTTATTGCTGATAATAATGAATAAGTTGAATATCAGGCTATGAAAGTAGTACATGGTGAGACTTGAAGAATGTTGACAGTTACTGAAACCTTTTTTGCCCACACTGCTCTTGCCCTGCCAACTCTTGGGCAATATTTCACAGCAATCTGAAGCCTAATATTCCCCACATTTATTTATTTATTTATTTATTTATTTATTTATTTATTTACTCATTTACTTAACAAACACGTATATGGCACCTATTATGTGCCAGGCACTGTTCTAAGTGCTTAAGAGAACCTGATAGGGTATATATTCTTATTTTCTTTAATTTGCAGATGAGAATACATGGGTAAAGTAGCATATCATTACTTTCCCAATGCCACACACTATAAGTATTTGAACTCAGTCTACCTCTAGAATCTGTACCTTCAATGACTGAGCTATAGACTTCTGCTTCTCCAGTTGAAGAATTTTGTTAAAGTGTGTCCCTGACTGACAGACAAAATAAACCCCCTAAAAGTTAAAACAGAACCAGGTGGCCACAGCTTGCTGAGGGAGTGGTGACATACTCTGGATTCTTAGAACCGTGTTGTAAAAGTACCACAGGACTTCCTGTATTAGCTTGCCACATGGAACATATAATCCTGGCATTCATTTTTTAAGAAGGAAGGGGAAGAGAAGGAGCAAAAGAGAGGAAGAGAGAAAAGGAAGAAAAGAAGAATAACAGAATGAAACAAAGTGCACAAAATAAAAAATTTATTAAGGTGATTGGACCTGGTGAATATTCTAAAACATTCAAGCTTGTTCAGAAGCCAGATACAATCAAGCCAAACCAATTCCTGTTGATACCAAGATAAACTGTGGCTGGAACACCCCCCTCCTTCCTCCCTCAACACACATACACTGGGGCATTTGAAAGAAACATCTCACAGAGACTTCTGGTTTGGGGCTCACAAACCAACCAATCACAGGTCACTGCCAATCAGAGCTCAGCTATATTGACCAATCAGAACTAAGTGAGTTTCAACGGATTGGGAATCTGGGCAGGAACATTTGCTGTAAAACTGGAACCCTCTCTATGTTCTCTAGAATGTACCTTCCTCTTTCCCTGATGGCTGCTGCCTCTTTTGGGTTTGCAGACTTCACTGGAATAAAGCCTCTTTCCTCCAAATTCCATTGTTGTTGTTATTGTTTTGGAGACTGGGTTTCTCTCCCACACCCAGGCTAAAGTGCTGTGGTGCTGTCTCGGCTCACTGTAAGTTCCATCTTCTGGACTCGAGGGATTATCCTGCCTCTTAGCCGCCCAAGTATCGGGGGCTACAGGCACATGCCAGCACCTCTGGTTAATTTTTGTATTTTTAGTAGAGATGGAGTTTTGCCATGTTGTCCAGGCTGGTCTCAGACTCCTGGGCTCAAGGCATCTGCCTGCCTCAGCTTCCCAAAGTGTTGGGATTACAGGCGTGAGCCACCACGCCAGACCCAAATTTCTTTTCAAATAACTTTTGTTCATGTTCTGTACAGACAGGCAATATTTGAAAATACTGTTGTAAAAAAGGAGCAATATATTGATAGCCATGAATATATTGACTCTAAACAATATAAAGGTATTGTAAATTGCTAACAGGTCTTGTGAATTGCTCAAAGGTGAACTAAGGCTTTAGTGGAGGGGCAGAAACGTTTAAAACCTAGGCTGTGAGGGGATCTAGAAAGCTTCAGAAAGGCTCTAGGTATATTTGGAAAAGGGAATTATGGAAGGTAAGATGGGTGTCCACATGGACTTCTGAACAGAGTTGACTGTTTTAGAATACTCACCATGTCTAATCACCTTATTACATTTTTAAAAATTGTATATACTCTGTTTCATTCTGTTATTCTCTTCTTCCTCTTCTTCCTTCCTCTCATTCTTCTACTCTCCTCTTCCCCCACTTTCTTCAAAAATTAATGCCAGGATTATATGTTCTATGTGGCAGTCTAATATTTTACTTTTTGTTTATTGAATGCAAAGGACAAAAGCTCTCGTATTAAGTATACTCATTGTGATTTAGAGTGACAGTCCTTGGGTACATTCAAATCCACATTGGTGTGTGGGTTTGTGTTAGCACACATAGTGTTATATTTTTGTTTTTAGTTAAGTTAAAATGCTTATCAGCCAGGATAAGTGTTTTACAATAACACATACCCACACACATCTCAGCAGTTTAAAATAACATTTTATTTCTTACTCATGTTATACATTTATTATGTGAGGACAATTGCACTGAATTGTCTTCACTTTAGATCTGGCTTGATAAAGCAGCGACTGGCCTGGAATATCAGTTACCATAGCTGAGAGGAAGAAACTTTAGAAGGTTGTACATTCACAATTAAGATCTAATTTACAAATCATTGACCAGAATTAGTCACATGACCCTGTCTCATCACTAAGGGCCAGGCTGTGCCATCCCAGCCTGTGCCCAGAAGGCAGAGAAGCCCCATGACCCAAAGTAGCAAAGACTTGAAAGCCAGAATAATTCATATAAATATTGGTAATTTTTTTTTAGAAAAATCAGAGGATTTGACAACATTGCTCCACAGCCCTCAATAGGAAAGGGTTAGCGCCAAATAGTAGATGTCATTATATAAATTATATGGCAAATCTCCCATTTACCATGTCCTCCTAATCTCCCTGATTAGTTTCCCATTATTATATTTATTGTTCTTGCACTGTTCTTTTTCTTATAGAGAGTTTGAAAGGAAGGTATCTGTAGCCATATTTATTAAAAGTGAAAAAATTAAAGATGCACACTCACAAAAAAACCCAAAGCAAAACGAAACCAAACCCCCTCAGGTTTCAAAAAGAATGGAATCGTATTTTTTTTTTTTTTTTTTTTTTTGAGGGAGTTAAAAAAATGTCTCTGGTTGCTAAATACTATTTAATCTTGGGGAAAAATGTCTGTCAGAATTTACTTGATTTGTCCTCTGAGGATATTTAAATGATCTACCACTGGTCTAAGTAAATCTAAGAATGGGGTACATGCAGATCAATTTATTTTTTCTTAAAAAATCTTTTAAAATTTCATTTGGGGTTACATTTTAAACTTATCATTAAATATACACATATTGTTATAAATAGAAGTTATAGTAGTTCAGCTTTGAAAACACTAGTGCAGGCCAGGCGCTGTGGCTCACGCCTGTAATCCCAGCGCTTTGGGAGGCCGAGGCGGGCGATCACGAGGTCAGGAGATCGAGACCATCCTGGCTAAGACGGTGAAACCCCGTCTCTACTAAAAATCCAAAAAAAAAAAAAAAAAAAAAAAAAAAAAAAAAAAAAATTAGCCGGGGGTGGTGGCGTGTGCCTATAGTCCCAGCTACTCAGGAGGCAGAGGCAGGAGAATGGCGTGAACCCAGGAGGCGGAGCTTGCAGTAAGCCAAGATCTCTGGGCTACAGAGTGAGACTGTGTCTCAAAAAAACAAACAGACGAACAAAAGTAGTGCAGGTAGAATTTAAAATAAACTATGTGCATGATGTCATGCATTTTTCCTTTTGCTGTCTTAGATGTTCTTAGGATTTTATTTTCTCTAAAAATTTTCAAGGAAAATTCCGATACTTTTTATCTTGACAGTGATAGGAAGAGAGTTGAATTTAGTCAATTAGTTGCCAAATGAAACAGTTACTAATGTAAGTAGACTGAATGTAAATTTTATTGTTTAAAAGAACGTTGGTCAGCCAAACATATTTGAAGTTTAGAGGAATCATTTTTGGAATTTGTGAATGCATGGTTGAAAGTAAGATTAAAATATTTTTCTAGTGGCACTGGACACTACTGAAGTTAAACGATAATAAAATACTATTTACCATTTTATGTAAGAGGATGATCAATTCTGAATGATGTACATTTTAGGAATTGATCTATAGAATCTAAAAGTTGGTATTTCACTTACCATTATTGTGAGGCGACCTCTACATATTGCAGAGAACAATTTTTTTTTACCTTTTACTATTAAATTGGGATGAAATGTGGCTATTTTACTCTAAATATGTAGTGTCACACTTTAAAATATATTAAAATTTAGATGGTTTAATATGTATTGCCAATTCATATAAAAGGCTACAGACAGGTGAGTGAATAATTTTAAGGAATGACAACTCAATGTGTTATTCCTTTCAAATGAAAGCTGTAAAAACTCATTCTGCCTACTCTACTCTTAGAAGCTAATATAAGTTCAATTTCTTTTCATATTTCAATTGTAACTGAATTTAAAATGCCTGGTTTCCTTCATCTCTTACAGTAACATTTCTCAAAATATTTTCTGAAGTGCATGTAAATCCTATCTGGGAAAAAATATATAGTAGATTGGCTTTTGTGTGGGTTAATCAAGTATGGATAGATAAAAAGACACTCTCCTTAAAGCAAAGTTGTTAAGCATTTTTGATGAAGGTGCATCTCATAGTTAAATATGATAGGCACCAATTTCTCTTTTTCAGAGAGAATGGAACTGACATCACAGCATATTCAGGGATAATACAAGTATCCATATATTCTGAATAAAGGGAACTGGGGAGGGATGGTGAGCCCTTTAAGAACTTTCCTCAGATATGTTACTTACCAGCTTTGCATATTAAGAAGGACATTTTGATCACAATATAGAGAATCCCTAAGCAATTAATTGTTTCTTGTTGTTTTTCCCACGTTCATTTTCATCCCTAATGTCCCATGGGCTTTCTGCTAGGTACTTTTCTTTTTCTCCATCAAATTTTGGTTTTCAGTATTTTAGTATTTCAGGATTTTAATTTGTTTGTTGAATTTCTTGTCTTGTATGTTCTTATTCATTTTGTGACATGTATACCATCTCTTGATAGGAATATGCCTATTTCAGTACTCAAGACATGGTCTGGAAAATCTTAAATCTTTCCCTTGACATTTTTTTTCTGTTTTTTTTTCCCTGCGATTTTTGAACTTTACTTTCTTGATGTTATACACAACTACTTAATATCCTGTATAATGGTGTCATTTTTTCCCAAGGTCTCAATGATTTCCTTAATCAGCCATTTCTTCCATTGAGGCAGAATGGTGTTGAGAGAGAAACCTGTCATTTCATTGCTTTTTCAACCTCCTGAGAGATTGTCAACTAGTCAAGTAGAACATTTATCATATCCCCTACTCTTAACTGTGTGAGAATATCCAGGTAGTTAAAGACTTTCTGTATGTTTCTGAGTTCATTTTCTCTTCACTATTAGGAAAGCAGTATTTACATAAACTCTTGTTTAGCCATCTTTCATCTGTCTGTAGCCTCAGTGCATAGTGCAATATCTAATTATTGTTCAATATATTTGTTGAGTAATATAATAAATAGTTGATTCCAGTTCAGTCTGCTGTGTACTAAAACTTTTTGTATCTATCTTTATTCTTTTATAATTATTTATTTTTTATTTTAAAAATTTATTGTATTGTCAGGACCACAAGCAAAATGTGTTGCAGTGTCTTAATTCTTACACACATGCTCTCTCCATGCTCTCCCCTCAGGTTTGCAGATTTCAGTTCATGTCTTCTACATGTCACACAGCATTTTTTTCACGGTGGCCTGCCTTGTTATTACTGTATTGTCATGAGTTCTAACCAATGTCTTAGAGAAACCAATGAGAATTTGTTTACTAAATATATTGTTTTGAACCCAATTTTATTAATTATTCATATTGTATAAATATTCACTCTCTTTAAAGTTTTAAGTATTGTATCAGACTTAAGCCATAACTTCAAGTTAGTTATGACTGAGAATGGATGAGTTCTTCCTCCAAATTATTCTTTCCGGGCTATATATGTATTCATAACATCCCATTGTATTGTTTTATTTGAGCTTTTTTCCCTTCTCTTCTATATTACAGTTTAAGCGATCCTGCTGAATGTCTATTTTATGATCTCAAATATTTGAATTATAAGTTGCTTCTACTATAAGAAGACACTGGAATTACCACAAGAATTCACATGTTTAAAAGATGCTTTCCCACCCGTAAAAGTGTCAGTGTGTGTTCATTGTACACGTAGTTAAAATGTGTGTTGTAGATTTGAACAGAGACCTTTTAACTTAGACTCAAGATTATGTGATTATTAAAACACACTCACATCTCAAATCCTTGGTTGTCTTATAATGTCATGACCTTTAACTACAAGAAGAGATGCAAATACTGCATATTCTCACAATACTTAAGCGGTTAGAGGGGCATTTTAGACTTCTTTAGGTTTTTCCACTTATTCTCAGAGGGTTAGCAGAATTGATGAGTGAGTATCAGGTGGGTTTGATACATTTGGGCAGGAAGAGAGCAAACTTCTCTATTAGCTGTCAAATATACATCAATACGTGATGCCTTCCCTGTATTTAACAGCAGTTCGCTAGACCATCTCCCAGTATTCTGTTGATCTAGTAACTTCAAGTTTTTTGTCACATAGAATGTTATAATTTAATCAAAAAGGTAAGTGGCAACCTTCTTTGAGAAAGTCTTATACCTGTAATGTAACTTCATGAATCCAAAGATAAATAATAGAACAGTGGTCTTTAACCTTAGCTACATATAGAGGACTTTAGAGAACTGCTGATGGCTGAGATCCATTCCCAGAGATTCTGGAGTACAAAATTTTAGGAATTCAATTTTTTAAAAGATTCTAAGGTGATTATAATTTGCAACCAATTTCGAGAACCACTGATATGATGTAGCACATACAGATCACCATTGGATCTTCCTAAGATGCAGATTCATTTTCTGGGGTGTCTTTAAGTGGGGGCCTGAGAGTTTACATTCCAAATAAGCTCACAGGAAAAGCTGATGCTGCTGGTTCATGAACCACACTGGAGTAGAGGGTGTGTAGAATTTATCTTTTTTTTTTTCCTCTTTTTCATAATCTTCTACTCTCCAGAACTTGGATGCTTGTTTTAATTCCATACTATATCCCTGGAGTTTTTTTTTTCTTTCCCATTTTGCTTGTGAGTTTTTGCTCACAAGTTTTTCTAAGAACTTGTTTCTAATAAACCAGAACATAGAAAGACATTCCTCGACCCTTGAGCTTCTTCTAGCAGGAAGGCCAACTTGCATTTATAGTGCACATAATTGGTGAGTGCCTCAGGCAGGAAGATAAATATATCTCTGGTCACTGGAAGGTTTCTTTCAGTGGTCTTATCTTCCAGGTCTCAAGTTGAAATATTGTCTTTTATAACTCCCCTGGGAGTCCTTCTTATTAACTTCTGGGACAAACTGTATCCAAGTGATTCAGGCAACCACCCTCCCCTGCAGCGAACCTCTACTTAATTGCTTGTTTTTGATAATTAGCTCCAAGTGGCCCTAGTTTCTTGAATGTTGAAAGCAATATTCCAATATTCAATATTCTATTTAAAAACTCATAGCCTTTTCTGTGTCTTTTTCTAACTTACCAAGAGACTCTCAGATCTCTGAACTATGTTAAATGGTGTTTCTCAAATATTATTGTGTGTGAGCATCATCTGGGCTGCTTATTAATAATGATTCCTGACTCCATATTCAGAGATCCTGATTTGGTGACTCTTTAGTAGGCTCTAGTATCTGCGTCTTTATTATGTGCCCCACTAAGGTGAGTCTTTTGTAAGCAATCCAAACTTGGAGAAACACTAATTTGACCTGGCTTCTCGAGCTTTAATGTACATTAAAATCACCAGATAATCTTGTTATAATGCAGACTGTGGCTTGGGGATGAAGTATTTCTGACAAACCCTCAGGTCTAAGAGGCCACAATACTCTAGGTACTAAGACTTTAGATCATGTAATTAATACCACACTACAGCACAATTCAGACTGACAAGTGTACGTTCCTTTAATCAAATAAAGGACATTTTTACACTTATGCTTTTGGTTAGAACATAAGCTTCCTTTTTTTGTTTGTTTGTTTTTGTTTTTTTGAGACAGAGTGTTGCTCTTTTGCCCAGGCTGGAGTGCAGTGGCACGGTCTCAGCTCACTGCAACCTCCGGCTCCTGGGTTCAAGCAATTCTCCTGCCTCAGCCTCCTGAGTAGCTGGGATTGCAGATGTTGCACTACCATGCCTGGCTAATATTTTTGTATTTTTAGTAGAGATGGGGTTTCACCATGTGGCCAGGCTGGTCTTGAACTCCTGACCTCAAGTGATCTGCCCGACTTGGCCTCTCAAAGTGCTGCGATGACAGGTGTGAGCCACCATGCCTGGCCCCAACATAAGCTTCTTAAGAGAAAAAAAAAAACAAAAAAACAAAACTCAATTAATAGAATACCAAACTTGGAAGGGACCTTCCAGATACCTAATTCAGAGGTCTTTTGCCTAAGCTCAACTCAAGGGCCCAAACGTTCAGCTCCACCTCATTTTGTTTAAAGAAAAAATTAAATGTAAACGTATTTTAAAAAGACTTGACTCTCCAGTTTTTCTCAGGTTTCAAATAACTCTGAAAGCCTTTGAGTCTGGCAATCTGCTGGAATCCATTTTGTTTTGCTTATGGCTCAGGAAGAAAAAGCCGTTGGTCAACATCACACTGCTAATTGTTGAAGAGCTAGGATTGGGCTTAAAACTTGTCACCAGGCTGGGACAAGTTTGTTTGTTTATGCTTAAGTAAAATCTGAGTCATGGTGCTGATTTTAATGGTTCTCTGGATGTGTAGAACTTATAAAAAGACATAGACCCTGTTTTGCTTTAGTATTAAACATCAAAAGTTATAAAAGACTACCCTGGAGATTTATTGTTGATGGAGATAAGGTTGGTCTTTGCCTTTTGCTTGCTTTAGTAGATTTAACATAAGAGAGATTTATCTAAAGCATCAATAAACTGGCATCTCTCATGTTGAAAGGAGGCCTCAGCTCTTCAAAACATCCTTTACAGGTAACATGAAGTTCTTTTCCATCATTTGTGGAATGTATTACAGTGAAGAAAAAGAAAAAAAATATTTAGGAGGAAAACTGAGTCAAAAAGTCTGGTATGGACTGAGCAGAAATTTTTGGAGCTGAATAAGGCTGAATTCAATCAAAATCCTGCCACCTTCTGTGTGACAGATCCTAGGCAATTTATTTTATCATCTCTGAACGATTTTCCTATCTGTGAAATGGAGATAATAATAGTTAACTGCAGAGCTGTTTGTAATTCTATAGCATGATAGATATATCTATAACATGAAACACAGCAAAGAATAATTATCAGCTGTCTTCATAGATTTGTTTTCTTACATATTATAGCTACTGTAAATTCTCATTTTTTCATATTTGCTTTCTCTGAGTAAAAGGTATAATTTTAGTATATTTAGTCTACTGAAATCTTGGAAATTTTACATAGTTTACTTAAAAGACATAAATATAGATGGAAGATTGTAATAAAAATATTCAAATATATATATACTCAAATATGTATACATTTAAATATAACATTCAAATACATACATTTATTTATATATAACATTCAAATGTGTGTGTGTGTGTGTGTGTGTGTGTATATATATATATATATTTTTTTTTAACCTTTTTATTAAAAGCCAGGCCAGGTATTCAGAATAAAATTTATGAGAAAAACAAGATGACTTGTACTGAGTTATAAAACGGAAGATTATTAGCTTTATAGAAAATAATCATTTGGCAAGATAAAACATTTCTCTGAGACTTTTGCTATGGATGGCCCAGTATTTATTCTTCTTGAGGAAAATTTTGAGCAATAGAAAAACTACTAGTCTATAGTGGAGAGTTTTCTTATTTTGCTGTGTCCTTGGGAAAATAATGGAATTCATTTATGTTCATTCATTTAACCCAGGAGTTCTCCACCAGGGACAATTTTATCCCACCTCCACCTGTAAAGGGGGGATATTTGACAATGTCTAGAGATATTTTTGTTTGCCTGACCAAGGCAGGTGTGCTACTGTAGCATCTAGGGGATAAAGACCAGGAATACTGCTCAGCATCTCACAATGTACAGGGCAAATTCTCCACAATACAGAATTATCAGATCCAAAATGTCAATGCTACTGAGGTTGAGAAACGCTGATTTAATCTATAAATTAAAACAAATGATACCTATTTTAAAAACCTGTGGCTCTAAAGCATGCTTTCTTAATGGGGGCAATATTGTTTTCAAGGAAGCAGAACGTTGCTACTTAGTGGGTGAAGGAAAAATCTTAGGTATTACAATAGATAGTGGCCCTCCAAAGGTCAGTGCTACCCATTAATATGAAGAGAGCTATAGTATATCTGTCTTTCATAGAATTTCATAGGGGGAGGGGTGGGAACAGTTAGGGAAAAATGTGTAAGTAGGCTACTTAGTAGTGATAATGAAAAAAGTTGAGAAACACTATAGATATATCAGGAAAATTTATCACTCATTAAATCATGTCCGCATGTTCTGCCCTAGTCTTTTCCCCTTTTGTGCCTTTTAGGCACCATAATAGTTAGATCATGGGATCTGGCAGCCATAAAGGAACTGTTGCGGCCAAGAACTCCTGACCACTCCTAGGCTTCCTTCTGACTTTTATTTTATTTTATTTCATTTATTTTTTTTAATACAGGACTTCACTCTGTCACTCAAGGTGGCACGCAGTGGCATAATCATGGCTCACCACAGCCTCAACCCTCTGGGCTCAAGTGATCCTCCTGCCTCAGCCTCCCTAGTAGCTGGGACTACAGATACATTCAACTACTCTCGACTAATATTTTTAATTTTTTCTTTGTTGAAATGGGGTCTTACTATGTTGCTGAGGCTCAACTCAAACTCCTGGCCTTAAGCAATCCTCCTGTCTTGGCCTCCCAAACCGTTGGGATTACAGACATGATCTCTTGCACCCGACCCCTCTGACTTTTAATCCTCCAACCTAATCCTGCCACACACCCACCCACTCTCACTTAGTCTTTCTCAGATACACCTCTCTCCTCCTCCTTTCTTTTATTTCTTTGGTCAATTATTCATTCTACTATCAAGTCAGAAAATAACCCTACAACTGACACATCTCTGTCTAGGGAAAAGAAAGTCAATAGTTGAAAGGAAAATTGAGTATGCACGTGAGCTATTGCTTCATCCCTGACAGTGTGAAATACTCTTCAGAATCTACTCATGTCTTCTGTCATTTCCTTCACCTGCTTTTCCTTAAACACCAATATTAAATTAATCCAATCAACAAATACTGCTTGAGTGCCTCCCATAGGTAGGGCATAGTAAATTCTTCCTCTTGGGAAATTTACATTCTGAAAGAAGAGGCAAAAAATAACAATAAACATAAGTAAATTATACAGTAGGCTAAATGGTAAGTGCTACAGAAATATACAGCATGATAATGGGGACTTGGAGTTGCTGGAATTTGAGGATAGTATGCAGAATTAAATAGAGTGATCAGGGTTTACTTCATTTAATATTGTATAGCAATATGTTTCTTGATGATAGCTAAAAAATAGCTAATAACTTTAAAGAACTTAATATATGATGCCTACATTTAATTTTGACAAAATTATCTGTGAAGTAGGTACTATTGTTACCTTCATTTTACAGGCCAGCAAAGCAGAGAACATAGGCAACTTTCCTAAGTTCATAAAACTTTCCTAAAGCTTTACTAGGAAGTAGCAGAGCCACATTCAAACCTACAAAGGCCTGCTCTAGGCGCTTACCCCTAACTGCTGTGTTATGTCGCATTTCTATTGAGTTTAATGGCATTACAATGCAATTCCTGTTTAATCATGTTTCATAGGTAATACAGCACAGTGATTGTAAAAGAAAAACTTTGCACCCGACATTTATTAACAATGGTAAGGAAGACTTTAAGATTCTTGTGATAGGAGAGATTTAACCCAGCTCTGAACACAGCAAAGACTGCTGGGGATTTATAGCCAACGAGCAGAGTGAGGGAGTCAGTGGATGAGAAATTACTAAGAGGAACTTGATTCAATATCAAGGGTAGGATGATTTAGTCAAGGAGGGAGTTCTTGTCATGGCTAAGAGAGTGGACCCTGGCACTGGCCTGCTGGATCTAATTTGTAGCTCCCACAAACCAGCTGAATGATCTCAGGCAGGTCACTTCAGCTCTTTGTGCCTTTGTTCTCCATGTATACTAATTCATAGGGTTGTTGTGAGGGCTCAAGTAATTTTAAGCACCATTTATTTACTGAATATTCACCATATGTTATTCTAGACACCCTCTTTATATTGCCAGTAACTGGCACAACAATACTGTGAGGTAGATATTATTGTCCCCATTTTATAGATGAAGAAACTGCGGCACATGTAGCCTATTTAGAGATTCAAAACAAGCAAGTGAAAAGGACTACATATAATTTTGTTTCTAACTGATCCGCCTTTTCTGTTTTATTCAGTCTTTCATTAGCTACTTTATGATGAGTATTGTCACAACATTGTGAGAAATAAAGGAAGCACCTGCCTAGAATTTTCTCTGGAGAGAAAATGTTATGGCTATTTTTTTTTTTTGGCTTTTAAAAATTACACCCAGTCTCAGAAAACATGCCTCGTTTCCTTTCAAGGTTCATCTTCCACCTCTCGTCTTGATCCCAGCATCTCCCTCTCCTCTGAGGCCTAAGGCATGTGCCAGAGTTATCTCTCTCTCCCTTGCTTGCATGTTTTACTCTGTCACTGCTGGCTCATTCCCTAGTACCTGTCACATGCTCGAGTCTCACATCTTCAACCTTATGACTTTAGATATCACCATGTGGATCTCACTCTTTTCCTTCCAGGCATCCTCATTGGAAGACCTATTTGCAGATGTTGCCTTTTTGCCTTTTCTTCCTCAGCTACTATTTGCTCTTCAGCTTCTCCAAATTATGCTTCCACTCCTCATCACTAGATTGCACTGCACTTGACCTGTCCCTGGGACTTATGCTGTGGACCCTCTTTTTACCTGAACCTCCCTACTTTCTTAATTTCTGGTACATACTTTTCTCATGGTATTCCTCTTACTTTTCCAGCCATTCCTGTCAATCTCTAATGCCCACACCAAAGTGATGGTATTTCTCAGGGTTTCACCTTGACACTCTTTTCTGGCCATGCTGCTCATTCTCTCACTACCTTAATGTGTCCCTGTTTCATAGATCGGCAGCCGGATAGCCCTCCCGATCCATGTGTTATCCTACTGTCCACTGAATAGCTCCACAGATTCATCACATCTAAAAGTAAACTTATCCTTTCCCTTCCCCTGCAGATTTATTCTTCCTCTGGTAATTCTTATCTTGGGTATTGGCACTGCCATTCATCCATGATAATATATGTACCAAGTGTAGTCTAATACATGGTGGAAACTCAATAAACAGTCACTATTAATTTAATCCTCACAGAACACTAATATATAAACACTATTATTATTGCCATTATATAAATGAGAGGAGACAAAAGTGATTAAGTGGCCTGCTCAGAGTCATTCTTGCTTTATTTCTCAAACAACTACCAATTAGTAACCAAGCCATTTTCATTATACAGTATGTCTCCATCTCCCTCTGCCTTTGTTCAAATTCTCTTTATTTCTCACTTGAATAAAACTATGGTAATAACTCCCACTGGCCCCTTCTTCCTGTAATGGCACCTCACCACCCTCCATCCATCTGCATTCTGGTCAGGTCAAAGTGATCTTTCTAAAGATTTTACCTGTTCATGATATTGTCTTTCTTAAAACTCTTCAGTGGCTCCCATGTCTTGCACTTCAATATAAACCCTGTAGCATGGTGTAGTGGGGCCACCTGAGCAAAAATCTTTTTTGTCTCATCTCTTTCCATGCCCCTGCCTTAGAACTCATGGTCAGACCACACAAAATAGTGAGTGAGTTTCTAAATGAATTACCCTTCAAAGTTTCTAAATGTTTTACCATTCCATGACTTTATTCTAACTGCCTCCTTTACTCACAATGTTCTGTTCTTTTTTGCCCTCCTGAGGAACTCCTACTTATCCTCTACAGCTAATATAAAATATCAACTACTTTAGGAAGCATTTCTACCTGACATCTCAGGGGCAACTGAACACTATTTCCTCTCAATACATTGTGTATGTGTATTTTGCATAGCATTTTAACAGTTTTAACAGTTATGTTGTCTTAATTTAGGTGTTAGAGCTGTTTAGAGATTGAACTTTGGGTTTGAATTCTTCATCTAATTGAAAAGATTTGTGTCTTTGGGTAAACCACTCTTTCCCTTATCTACATCTATAAAACAGGGATCAAACAGGGTTACTTAGGGTTATTGGGAACATTAAGATAATCACAGAAGTGTTTGGCACATTAGACTTTGTCATTTTCCTGCTCTCAACATTCCAATGGGTTCCTATAATACTTAGCCATAGAATTTAAATTATTATCTTTTGCTATTTAAAAGTATTTCATTCTAACTTTATAGCGAGAAAGTTTGGAAAGTGAGGGGTACCTCTACTTATTGTTGCCTTTATAATCCTGCATGATCCAGACCTTGGCTATCTTGCCGACCTGATTTCCCACCATTCTCCCTTTGTTTCCCCACTCCATCCTTATTGGCAACCCTGCTCTTTTTTACTGCATCATTTAAACTCTTGCCTCACCACTTGTGCTCCTGCAGATTCCTCCACCTGGATTGTTCTTTCCACTGATGTCCAAATGGTTCACTATCTTCTTCAATGCAAGCTGTTACTTGAAGGTCACTTATCTAAAGTAGACTCCTCTTTATTTTCCTCTGATCCTCTTTAATTTTCTTCATCACACTTATTGCTTCATGTGAGTCATTGTTTTGCTGGTTTTTGTCCACTCTCATTCACTGCAGCATAAACGCCATGACTGCAACAAATTTGTTTACTGATATATCCTCAGATTGAAAATAATGGCTGACTTATGGTAGGCATTTAAATATATTTGTTGAATGAACAAATGAGTGAATCATTGGATTATGTTAATATTATTATTTGTTAAATGTTTCTGAAAGGCAGAGATCTGCTCCTCTTTGTCTTCATACACCAAGTTCATTGCTTATAAAGTGTATTCCTTGGAGCCTTAAAGGTTTTCACGGACTTTCTCCTGGGGTCCAGCTGTCTTGGTTTCAGGGTTAAAGTAGGTCCAATTTTACTTGTTGTATACATTGATCTGCACAGTAATAGTTTCACTGCTAAAAGGCTTTGAAATCCACTAACCAAGTGTAATTCCCAATACATTCAGTAAATCATTCAATAAATGTTTGCTGGTGAATGAATGAGGTAGAAAAAAAATGCCAGAAATATTATCTTTAACGTGAAGGAAAACGTAGAGCTGACATTTTCTTGAATAGCCTACCCATAATTATCTTTCCCCAGCAGCATTAACTTTACTTGTACATCCTTGCAAAACTGATTTAGATTTTATTAAAATTAAAATATGAATTTTAAAATATTTTTCTAATACAGCCTATTGTCTTTTCTGCTGTTGTGGCATTACTTTTATTGTTTTCTTGATATTATTAAGTTAGTCACTGAATACCAGTGGTAGATACTGAAAAAGTAAGTGCTAATTAAATTACCAACCATAAGATAATTACTTTATTATTAGCAAACTAAAAGATGATGCTGATTCAACATTCTCCGCATTTTGCTAAACTATTTCTTACTAAAAATCTACATCTTCAAAATATCTAGTGATATCTGATTCAGACAAGATTAAATTTTTATTTGTTGACTCTTGAAAATATTACATAATTATACTTGATTGGCATATGTAATTAATGTAAATGAACTCATTTTGTTTGAAAAAATAGGAATGGCCACAATGACATAAAACTTTAAATATTTAGTTTAATATAGCACTTTGGGAGCCTGAGGCAGGCGGATCACGAGGTCAGGAGTTTGAGACCAGCCTGGCTAACATGGTGAAACCCCGTCTCTACTAAAAATACAAAAAAAATCAGCTGGGCGTGGTGGCGGGCACCTGTAGTCCCAGCTACTTGGGAGGCTGAGGCAGGAGAATGGCGTGAACCCAGGAGGCAGAGTTTCCAGTGAGCCGAGATTGCACCACTGCACACCAGCCTGGGCGACAGAGTGAGACTCTGTCTCAAAAAAAAAATAAATAAATAAATAAAAACTTAAGTGGTAATAATACAAATATAATGGCCATAAAAGGATCAAAAGCAGTTCCATATTTAACAGAGAGGTTATTTCTGTTGCTTGTGACTATAATAATTCATATTCTACAGTATCTTTCCACCATGGTAATTTCCAAGAAAGTGTTCCAATTTTTTTCCAGTCCTATCTTCCCCTCTTCTTGAGGACACACACACACAAAAAAAGATGGAAGATGGTGGTGATGATGGTAGGGTTTGAGGTGGAAGTTGAGAATTGAAATCAGGATGAGGGTTAATTTCATGATCATTACAAGGAGGGAGGAAGCTAATTCTGGCCATGAAGCAAGAGGTGTTTGTTAGCCAGAGCCACTTTGCATAGGAAACAGTAGAGGGTTTGGACATCACATACGCCATGTTGGGAAGAAGTGTGACTGTCTTCCATGGCTAAACTGAACTGAAGAAAAATGCATCAAGGTAGTCCAAACAGCTTACTAATAAGTGATCTAGTTAGATTAGAGAGATATCACTACTTAGAAAATCAAATTAATCAATTTGAAAAGAAGGAAAAGTGATATAGTTGACATTGGAAATGTTTTTGACACCTTTGTCATAGTGACAGTACACGTGTTTGTGTTTTTCATTCTTGAGGTCTAGATAACTTTCAGAGAACAGTGATATTTTGAGCCATAGGAATTTAAAAATACCATATCTTCCCTTTTTTAAGTTAGTTTAACCTGTGATTTACATTTGACAATTGAAGTCTTAAAAATCTCTAGCCAGGCGCAGGGCTCACACCTATAATTCCTGTGCTTTGGGAGGCTGAGGCGGGCAGATCACAAGGTCAGGAGTTTGATACCAGCCTTGCCAATATGGTCAAACCCTGTCTCTCCTAAAAGTACAAAAATTGGCTGGGCATGGTGACATGCGCCTATAGTCCCAGCTACTCGGGAGGCTGAGGCAGAAGAATCCCTTGAACCCGGGAGGTGGAGGTTGCAGTGAGCCAGAATTGCACCACTGCACTCCAGCCTTGTCAGCAAAGTGAGACTCCATCTCACACACACACACACACACACACACACACACACACACACACACGCACACACACACAAAATCTCTTCACTGACCAATGTAGAAACAAACATATTTACACACAAACACAGACCAAGTTTCACTTTGTTATATGACAATATGAAACAATGCAACAGGCATATTTTAATAAAGTGTATAATTATTAATCATTTAAAAAATTATTTAATGGAACATATAACAACTATATATAGATATTAACATTTGGAAAAAAAACCTAAAGAAGATGTATTTTGACACCCCTCTTTTACAGATATGGAATCTGAGATACAGAAAAGGTAACAGGTTCAGTCATATAGTCTAAGTTATTAATATGAATCAAGTCTAGAATCAAGGTTTTTAGGCTCCCAGTACAGTGCTTTTTATCAATGATTATATAAGAGAAGTCTGTATAGATCATTTATTTAATATTTAGTTATGTATCCACTCATTCAAGTATTACTGTGAATGAGTAGATTCAAAATATATTTTGAAGTCAGGTGTCAATTTACACAAGATATGGGAATATTTCCCTTAATAAATTCTTGTACATCTAAATATTTTCCTGTGACTATAACTTTGGCTACATTTCATGCTACTTTTATTCTGTTCTCTTCTAAAAGTTTATAATTTATTTATTATTATTTGGCATTTTCTTAAGTAAATAGTCCTACTGGGGGTCATTCTTTTATTAAAAATGTCTAGTGTTGCTGCATTAAAGTTTAAAGTTACAGAGATTTTCTACTTTGGGAAATTATTTGATGTTTTAATGGCCAAATACACAGTGAATTTTTGCAAATATTATGTGGTATTGTGTTTCTTGGTTTCAAAGAAGTGTGGTGTGTGTGCATTTCATCGTATTTGATAGGTTACCTCATATTCAAATTTATTCTTTGTTTGCTTATTTTTTGTCTACTTGATCTGTCGCTTTCTGACAAGTATGGGTTATAATCCCCTAGTATTACTGTGAATTTGTTAAATCTTTCTTGTATACCTAGTTTTGCATATTTCAATTCTACATTATTTGGTGTAAAAAAGTTAATTGTATATATTTTTGGTCAATCGTATATTTAATTGTTACATATCTTTTCTTGTTCTTGAATTTACTGTTAGTACAGTCATCCCTTCCTATCTACAGGTTCCTCATCCAACCAACCTCAAATAAAAAAATATTTTAAAACTATTAAACTATATAAAAACTATTAAATATTAAAGAATATTTTAAAAATATTTCAAAATTATATTTTATTCTATTTTTATTTTGTAATAATTATTAAAACTATAGTATTGCAAATATTACAATATTAAATATTATAGTATTTTATTTGTTAAATATAACAAATAACAATATAGCATAACAATTATTTAAATAGCATCTGTATTAGTCTGTTTTCATGCTGCTGATAAAGACATACCCGAGACTGGGAAGAAAAAGAGGTTTTAATGGACTTACAGTTCCATGTGGCTGAGGAGGCCTCACAATCATGGTGGAATGTCAAAGGCACATCTCCCATGATGACAGACAACGGAAGAAGCTTGTGCAGGGAAACTCTCGCTTTAAAAATCATCAGATCTCATGAGACTTATTCACTATTGTGAGAACAGCACAGAAAATACCTGCACCCATGATTCAATTACCTCCCAGTGGTCTCTCCCACAACACATGGGAATTCAAGATGAAATTTGGGTGGGGACATAGCTAAACTATATCAGCATTTATATTGTATTATCTATTATAAGGAATCTAGAGATGATTTAAACTATATGGGAGAATGTGCCTAGGTTATATGCAAATACTGTGCCATTTTATATAAGGGACTTGAGCATCTGTGGATAATTATAGGTAGCCAAGAGGGTCCTGGAATCAATCCCATGTGGATACCAAGGGATGACTGTATTGCTATATTTCCTTTTTATTTCTTTCCACATTTGTCTGATGTATCTTTTCTATCCTTTTATTTCAACCTTTCTGTGCCATTTTGTTTCATCTCTACCTTTACAATCAGCACATAGATGAATTTATTACTTTTTTAAAAAAATTATAATATCCTGTTTTATGTTTTCTGGTTGCCATCTTTGTTGTTCTTGCTTGATTCAAGTTATTATTGATTTTTTTAAAAATTGGCCATTTAAAAATATTTTATCCTTTTTTGTGATTTGGATTTTTTATCTTGTTTTTTTATTAATGATTCCTAAATTTTTAAAACATATTTATTCTAATATTTTTAAATTTAGCATCTAATATTATTCAATGTTTACATTCTCCTCTGTCTTTCCTAACCAAAAAGACAATGTTCCCACCACTCCCATTATACCTTATAACTTAATTACATCTGCAATGATCCTTTTTCCAAATAAGGTCATATTCACAGGTTCTGGGTGAACATGTCTTTTATGGGGGCACAAATCAAACCCATGACAACAAGCAAACTCTTAGTCAAATATAAATACCAATACAAAGAGTGGTATGTAGGCTGGGCATGGTGGCTCTCGCCTGTAATCCTAGCACTTTGGGAGGCTGAGGCGGGTGGATCACTTGAGGTC
Source organism: Homo sapiens (assembly GCF_000001405.40). Classification (NCBI taxonomy): domain Eukaryota; kingdom Metazoa; phylum Chordata; class Mammalia; order Primates; family Hominidae; genus Homo; species Homo sapiens. The sequence continues at coordinate 168,455,116 of NC_000003.12, forward strand.
AGTAGTTCGAGAAAAAGTGATATGTAAATGAAAGTTGATGTGAGGGTTTATTTACATTGCTGAAATGTGAATAATGGAGAGTTGGCAATTAAATAAATATCCAAAGTTCAGTATTCTGTAATTCATAGTATGTCTCTAGAACACTGAATCTCAAGATGTAATATTCCTACATGCATTGAAATATGACGTTGTACCCCATAAATATGTACATTTTTGTGTCAGTAATTTTTTAAAAGATGTAATGTTACTATAAAATCACTTGGGGTCTCCTATTTAAAAATGAAGATATTTTAGGCTCCACTGCCAGAGATCCTGATTAATATCTGACATGGGACCCATGAATCTGCATTTTAACAGGCAGAGGAGAAAAATTTAAGTTTTGTAGGTCTAGGACCCAATCCAGTTTGGGGGGTCGTTCTAAAAGAAAAATAACACAAGATCACAAGGATAAAATTAGGTACAGTGTCACAGTTAAGTATCCTAGAAGCTTAAGCTTGACTATCTTGTTGGCAAATCTGCCTCAGAAGGCACACCAAGTAATTCATGCCCATGTTCCATGGACGACACTCAATGGAACACTGATCTAGCATACCCTTTCTACCTTTTGGTTGTTGTTGCTGCTAAACATTTCTTCCCAGAATATAATGCTATTACAAGTTGAGCTTTCCTTTACAACCTTGTAGTTAATTATTTAGGCAATACCTTTAATGTTGATTAAAATTATGACTACATCAGGGGATAGATTGATCTTTGTTATTGCATGTAAGATTTGTGAATTTCAAAAATTCGTTTGATATAGTCCTTATGAAACAGGAGAGTTCCCTTATCCCCCTTGCACAATGTGTGACAGGGGTGTGGCTTGCTGCTTTCGTCATCTCCGTGCTCAAACCCCTAGGGGAGCATGCAGATGGGCAGGTGCAGAGGCTATGGGGGAGTGCTTTTGGGCTCCAACCCCACGACAGCATCTAGGGGTGGGTGTCTGCGACTCCTGAAGCCCAAGTGGGCATGTGTTACAGTGGGATCTTTGAACTTTGCTGTCTGCAGATGACTTGTGTTAATCAGCACAACAGACCCTCTGCCTTATTGCAAGGGCAGAGGGCCAGCGTGACAGCTTTCTGTATCCCGAGCTCTTGCCCAGTGTACTGGAAAATTGTATTACACCTGGGTTCAAAGGATGAGTGCAAGGTTGTATTGAGTGGTGGAGGTGGCTCTTAGTGAGTTGGATGGGGAGCTTGAAGGGTTATGGAGTGGGAAGGTAGTCTTCCCCTGGAGTTGGGCCACCCAAGCGGCTGGACTCTTCTCTGATCACCCCCGGCCGAGTTCCCTTCAGCATCCAGACGTCGCTACTCTTCTCTTTCTCTGCTGCATCATTCTGCTGTCACTGGTCTGCCTGTCGGTCTGTTCCTGTGTTCCTTTCAATGTTCAACTGCTTGTATCTGTGCCCACTAAGGTATCAGGTTTATATGGGCACAGGATGAGGGGCTTTGTAGACCAGAGTTTTCTTGGAAATTGCAACATTTGGGCATGAAAACAGGAGTGCCCATTCTCACTTAGGTCCAGGGGCACAAGCCCAAGGGTGGAGGCCTCACCAGGGATCCCACCCTTCTCTACTCAGCACTTTCCTGCCCCACTCCTTATTACTTATTGTTACATCAGTATTAAATATTTATATTTTCTTTCCTGGAAGCATCATGGGATAGAATAAGGGACATTGGTTAAAATTCTGGTTTCCTTTCTTGGAGGCTCCTTATGCATGCTACAAATATCAGATTGCTCCAAAAATTAAACAAGGTGATGCATGAGTGCCTGATACGGGGGCTATTACATAGGACACAGATGCTTGGTCAATATTTCTTTCCTCACTAGTTTTTTTTCTTTTTCCCTCACTCACCTCGTTTTGCTTTCTGTAAGATAATTTTGCCCCTAGATTATTGAAGAACTCTTGAAGAAAGAAACTAAAAAATTATCTGTGGAACTTTGCGTTTCAGTTCTTATATTGTTACTGAAATTTTGTTACTTATTCTGTCTGATAGAAAAATTGGGTTTATAATAATAATCATAATATTTTAACTTTTTAATTGGGTGCTTTCTTTAGGCCAGGCTCTGCCATCAGCGCTCCATACAGCGCTCCATACAAATTATTAATTTTAATTCTCTCATCAAGCCTACAATGTAGACACAACAATTATCTCTAATTTTAAGGAGGAAAAAAAACTGAGACTTACAATGATTTATGTAACTTTTCCAAGAAGTCACACAATGAGGAAGTGGCAAAACAGAGACACCTATGCTGCCCTGATCCTGAAATCCTACTCTTGGCCACTGCTATAATTCTGAGATAATATTCCACAGAGTTGAATCAAGTTTATTCATATTAATCAATTTCTCTTACTTAACAATAGACTTCTGTGTGCATTACCAGCCAGTGGTAATAGAATGCTGTTTGCTTCATTTTAAATACTGGCACAGAGATATTGTAGTTTTGGGCATTTTAACCCAGGGAATTACTGAGAATATAATTTTTAGTGATTGGGTAGAAATGCTTTTAATTTCCATTGTCTCTTGGCAGTTACACTTTTTAGTAAGATTCTTTGCTGTACATTTCAGTTTCGCTAATGTGATTATGTGGGCTAACATCAAAAGGGTTCATTGCTTAATGACCAAGAACCAAGCATGTCAGGATGCAGGAATTGGAAATGGTTTTAAATAAATCAATTTCAAGTGAATTAATCTTTGAAAACAGTGCCTGAGCATTTTCCATATGAAAGTCATTTCCATTATGACTTCATAGTACCATTCAAAGTGTCTTTTTGATGTTTATTGTCTTTATGGTAGCAAGAGTAGCTACATTGTGTTATAATAACATGGTTTATTTCTGCTTCTAAATTATCCACGGATGAGAGTGGATTTATATAGCTGTGTATATTTGCTCAGAGCCTCTTCAATATTCTTCCAGAATCACTTGTACATTGGCTTTGGTTGTGTATGTATCTTTGTGAAAATGACAGCAAGCACTGAATCAGAGTGATGCACCATTTACTCTGTGGTGTTTTATGTATTGTCACTGCAATTGCATGTTCACAGGCAGCTTTGTGTACTTAAGATTTACAAGTCATTTGTTTGCTTCCAAGAAGCCATCTGAGATGACAGTATATATTAAAGTTGCTAAACAAATTATATATTTCTTGTACCGAAAACTTCAGTGATTTAAGATGCATCGTCTTTCTTCCTTCCTTTCCTTCTTCCTCCTCCCTCCCTCTTTCCCTCCCTTCCCTCCCTTCCTGACTTCCTCCCTTCTTCCCTTCCCTCCCTTCCCCACTTCCTCCCTTCCTCCCTTCCCCACTTCCTCCCTTCCTTCTCTTTCTCTCTTTTCTTCCTTCCTTCTCTCTTTCTTTTCTTCCTGTTTTTCCGAAAAGCAATACATCATTTGTAATTCATTACGTAACTTCACTAAGAACCTGAAATTATTTTTTATTAGAAATCCCTTTTCTTTCAGTTTTTGCTTTTGCATTTATATTGTCTTTGTGACTCAGCTTAATATTTAAGTCACAAAGCAATTCAGTTTTTAATCATTTTATTGGTATTATTAAACTTGGATTTTATCTTCCCCTAATTAACGAATAAATTGATAAGATCAAAATCTCAGATATGGATGTGATAGCTTTTTAACAATAAATTTTCCAAGCACTTAGTGTGTACAAAAAAGATGCCAGAGCTAAGAAAAAAAAATTGTTGTTAGAAGAATCTAATATGCTCCATAAACCAGTAAAATAATTATTTCAAATTTTATTTTAAAAATATACATGGGATGCTTATAAGTAATTAAAGTAAACATATACATCAGTTCCTTACTAAAATAATTTTAAATTTTTTTAGAGTATGATGATTTCACTTAAGGAAGTTTTCTGGGACTTAATCTGAAATTATTAAGTATCCATGTTGTAAGGTCAGGTTAAGATATTTTATTATTTTTGGCAGTTATTTATAGAGTTCCTTCTCTCTCCCCAAATTATATATCTATTGATCATTATTTAATTCAAAGAAAGCTTGTGCCAAAGTAAAATTATACCAGTAGTGTTTGATGTAGAAGAATACAGTGAAGGATAGCCTGTATACCACAGGCAGAAATACAGAATCCTATATATTTGTAATTTGTGCTTATGAAATACTATTTCCAAATCTGATTATGTGTAGGTCCAAGTAGATAAATTTGAAAAAAGTAATAAATATCTTTTTATTCTTTTTTTCTTTTGTTCCTTTTTACTTCCTCATTTCTTCACCGCACAAATATAGCTCTGAGTTATAAATGAAAATACAAAGTGATGAGCACCAATACCCTACAGTGGCTTTCAGACATAGATTTCTGGTGCCTATGAAGAACTTTGTCACACAATTGAAAGACTTTTTCAAACTGTTTGGGATTTGAATCATCAAATTTGAAAGAATTTGGCAGTTATTCAGCGTCTCCATCTGCCTCCCATAAAAGCTGCTATTATTAAGTCATCCCAGTGAGATGGGAATCTATGCTTTCTTTTAGGCTTTGAGAGAAAATGATTCAGTAATCTCTTTTTTTAAACTTATTTCAGTGTTTAATAACTTGAACTGTCAAAAAAGATTTTTTCATCATTACCCTAAATTCTTTTTGTTGTCATTTAAACCCAAGAATCAGATGAACAGCCTCATAGAATTAATATGTGAATGCAACATCAAAGGACACAATAATTACAACCCAGGCTGTTTTGTGTCAGTCAAGCCATCCTAATTCTTAAAGTCCAGAACTGGGATTCTTATTAAAAATGATTACATTTTAGTATTTAATACTCCTAATATTTATGAAGAGGTAATTTATTGAATGTGCCTCTGAATATGTTAAATTGTCTAAAACCATATTTAAACATTATTTTTTATAACATACACATTGTTACCCTTTCGGTTTCCTTTGGTTGAAATTATTAACCTGTGAATAGCAATCTGAATAGCAGGAATGTATAGAATCCTAATGTAGAAGTATTTATTCTTATGGAAACAATTTTGCTAGGACTTCAACTGTTCTGGAAGTTATCCACTTGGAACTTAGAATAATGTCAGTAATTTTTTGTAAAAATAGAAATTCAAGTTTATTGAGCCATTCCATTTATTGTCGGTGTTTTTCATCTATTTCAATCTGAACCTATTTTCCTTGATCAGCTTCCTGATCCTTTTGGTTCAAGTTCTAATCCTTCTTGTGATCTGCCTCACCTCTACCTCTGTTAGGTTTTCTGCATATTGGGTACTATGTTTATTATTTGGATGATGGGTTCAATAGAGGCCTAAAGCCCAGCATTATGCAATATATCTATGTAACAAACACACATGTACTCCCTGAATCTAAAATAATAATAATAATAATAATTCAAACTCACAGAAGCAGAGAATAGAATGGTGGTTACCAACACTTGGGAGTAGGTACAGGTTGAGTAGATGTTGAATAAAAGATACAAAATTTCAATTATATAGGAGAAATAAGTTCAAGAGATCTATTATACTACACGGTGACTACAGTTAATACAATGTATTATCTACTTGAAAATTGTTGACAAGTAGATTTTAAGTATTCTCACCATAAAAAATTAGGTACAGTAGGTAATAAATATGTTAATTAGCTTGATTTAGCCATTTCACAATGTATACATATTTCAAAACATCATATTATACACCATAAATGTATACAATTTTAAATTTGTAAATTAAAGAAAGTTTCAAATTTTTTCATCAAAAAAACCTAAAATTTTAAAAATTAATGACAGGGAAAAACATTTTTAAAGAAAAACTGTGGCTGGACATGGTGGTTAATGACTGTAATCCTAGTACTCCAGAAGACCAAGGCAGGAAAATCATTTGCAGCCTGTAGTTCAAGACCAAAATAGTGAAAGCCCATCTCTAGAAATATAAAATCAACTGAGCAACATAGTGAAAGCCCATCTCTAGAAATATAAAAAGATAAAAAGAAAAACTGTCATAAATATATGATATATCATAAAATGTCACCATAGGACACACACATACACACACACACACACAAATCAAATTGTAGAAAGCATCTATTTCCACCTCACAGTTCAAAAACAATAAAAAATATGGCAGCCTCACAGAAAAAATAATCTATTAGTTTTTCTCTCTTCCTATACCCCAGCTGTAGGCATTGCCATCCCCAAACTTCTGGCATTATTGTTGCCATACTATTATTAGCTGTCCCTGCTATCAGTCCTGAAGATGCTTATAGTTCATTTTCTCATTACTTTGTTACTTTTATTGCTACTACACTTCTGTCACCTAGTTAGTCACTAGGTTGCCAGAAGTAATTTCTGGACCCAATTTTCGGACAAGAACCAGTACTAGAAATGGATACACCATATAGAGCTTTTATAATTGCAATAATTTACCTGTAATTAGATTTGTTTGCTTCATAAAGTTTCCAGTTACTCTCTACTGTTCTTTCATTTCAACTTGCCATCTCCTTTTAGCATTTCCTGCAGAGCAGGTCTAGCGGTAACAAACTACCTCACCGTTTTTTATCTGAGAGTGTCTTAGCTTCTCCCTCACTTTTGAAGAACAGTTTTGATAAATATAGTATTCTTGGTTGAATGTTTTTTTTCCCCCTTTGGCCCTTTGAATATATAAGCCCACTGATTTCTGGCTCTCAAATGTTTTAATAAGTAATTTTTATAAACTTATTGAGCATCTTTTATATATTATTAGTCATGTAAAAGACTAACCTGCTTTCAAAATTTGCTCTTTGTCTCTGGTTTTTGACAGTTTAATTATAATGTGTCTCAGTGTGGTTCTCTTTGAGTTCTTTTTGTTTGAGTTTGTTGAACTTCTTGGATATTTATATCCATGTCCTTAATCAAATTTAAGATTTTGACCATTATTTTTAAAAATAGTTTCCCTTACCATTTTTCTCTCTCTTCTCCTTCTGAAACTCCCACAATGCATATGTTGGTCCACTTGATGTGTTCCACAAGACTGAAAGGCTCTGTTCATTTTTCTGCAATCTTTTTATTTCTTTTCCTCAGACTTAATATTTTCCATTGTCCTATTTTCAAGTTTATTGATTCTTTATTCTGCCTGCTCAAATATGTCTTTAAATACCTTTAAGGAGTTTTTCATTTCAGTTATTGTACTTTTAACCTCTAGAACTTTTTCTTTCTTTTTAGATTTTCTGTCTTTTTATTGATATTTCCATTTTGTTGATACATCATTTTCTTGACATTCTCCACATCTCCTTTACTTCTCTGAACATCTTTAAGACAGTTGTTTTAAAGACTTTTTCTGATAGATCTGCCATCAGTTTTTTTTTTAGGGGCAATTTCTATTTGTTTATTCATTTATTTGAATTGGCCATACTTTGTATGCCTTGTAGAAAACTAAATATTTGAGTATAGTAGTATGATAACTCTGGATATCAGATTATCCTCCTTCCCCAGGGTTTGCTGGTTTTTATTTGTTTTGTTGTTGTTTACTTATTTTTTTTTATTGGTGTAGGCTGTTTCTGTGCCAAGCATACACACTTTACAAGTGTGTAAAGTGAAGGTCTTCTCAGGTCTTTTCTCAGCCTGTGCCTCCCCCTGGACAAGTGCAGTAACTTTCTGATTCCCCCTGTACATGTGACTGCTTTTGAATGTCCTAGTCTTTAATGTATGGCTCTCAAAAGGGGGCAAAGGGAAAAATTAGAAGGAAAAAAGACACTGGCACTGCCTTTTTAAATTTCATGCAAATCACTTCAACCAAACGAGGAGCAACTTGCAACAAAGGGTAACTGCAACAACAATAGCCACTGCCTCTTTGTGTGCGGCTCTGTGATCAGAAGCAGCAATTAGTGATCAGAGCACAAATCCATGGTATTTGGAGGACAGGATGTTTTGTGCCCACCCTGGCTCCTGCAAGTGGTATACAAGCTGCTCCTGGAGCACATGCACAGTTTCCTGCCAGAGGGCTAAGGGGTAAGTGGATGAGTAGTGGCTACTATGGTAATAGATGAAATTGACCTAAATTTACCTCAGTTTTTGGTTTCAGCCTTACCCTGGAAGTTGCAAGCCTTCAGTATACACCTGAGTTCTAACAGTTACATCAAACAGATTCTGCCAGTACCGTTTTTGTCTAGGTGAGGAGACAGACTTCAGGTGCTTCCTACTCTGCCATGTTTCCAAAAACCTTCTTATCTATTGTGTTTTAAAGAAAAACTAATACTTGTTAGAAATTACTCAAGAAGAAAGAAGGAAAGGGCTTTCTTCTTCTAGTTTTAAAAATTCAGCCCCAAACAGAACATATCATTTAGAATGGTTGAAATTCCATTACAAATAAGAGAAACCCAATTCAGAGTAGCTCCAGCAGCAGTGAAGATTGTGTTAGCCTAAGTAACCGAATAATATGATGTATGAATTAGGAGGTATATCTGGCATCAGGAACATCAGGAATGAGGACACTGAGGGTATACCAGAATTCTGTCCATTTCCTCCTTCTCCTAGACTGAGAGATCTATGCTCTTAAGATATTTTTGCTACAGAGGAGAGTTCTGGTGCCTTACAGCTCATAGCTTTGCCTGTTTATGGACATTAGATTTTGTTTTCTCCAGTGTGGAAAAATGAGATGTTATTTGAGGATGTTAGGAAGGAGTTTGGCTTGATCTGGGTTTACATTTTGGAAAGGTAACCTTGGTTGCTCCATTTTATTGTGGGGCATGAAGGGTACAAAAGAGAGAGAAGCCAGTAAGGAGGTTATTATAGTAGTTCAAAGGAGAAATAAATGTGGCTTGGTGTGGCATGGGCAGAGCAGAAAGGGTGGGAATGTTTCAACTGGGATATATTATGGAGGATAAAAAACAGGTCAGACTGATTGATTTGAAGATGTGAAGAATCAAAGAGGAATCAAGGATAACTCCTGTGGTTTTGGCTAAGAAATTTGATGGATAGTGGTATCATTTAATGAGAAAGGAAATGCTTAGGGATGAGAAAATGTGGTTTAAGATTAATACATTTATTAAGCCCTTAAGTAGAGATTCAAGTGACAAGCTGGTTATCCAATTGTAGAGTTCTGATGGGAGGCCAGAATGGACATAAAATTATTGAAAAGGAGTTATATGATTATCATTTTGTGAAAATAAACATGATTCTTTATCCAGAAGATGTAATAGAATCAACATAAAAATTCTAAAACCTGGCAGAGATACAACAACAAAAAAGAACTTCAGGCCGATATCCTTGATGAACATTGATGCAAAAATTCTCAATAAAATACTGGCAAATTGAATCCAGAAGCACATCAAGAAGCTTATCCATCACAAATAAGTAGACTTCATTCCCCAGGAAGCAAGGTTGGCTCAACATACACAAATCAATAACTGTGAGTGATCACATAAACAGAACTAAGACTAAAAAACACATGATTTTCTCAATAGATGCAGAAAAGGCCTCTGATAAAATTCAACATCCTTCATGTTAAAAACTCTCAGGAAACTAGGTATTGAAGGGACATACCTCAAAATAATAAGAGCCATATATGACAAACGCACAGCCAATATCATGCTGAATGGGCAAAATCTGGAAGCATTCCCCTGAAAGCCAGCACAAGACAAGAATGTGCCACCTCTCACCACTCCTATTCAACACAGTATAGAAAGTTCTGGTCGGGGCTATCAGGCAAGCAAAAGAAAGGATATTCAAACGTAAAGAGAGGAAGTCAAACTGTCTTTGTTTGCAGATTACAAGATCCGATACCTAGAAAACCAGCATTGTCTCAGCTCAAAAGCTTCTTAAGCTGATAAGCAACTTCAGCAAAGTCTCAGGATACAAAATCAATGTGCAAAAATTGCTAGCATTTCTATGCACCAACAGGCAAGCCAAAAGCCAAATCAAGAATGAACTCCCATTCACAGTTGCCATGAAATAATAAAATACCTAGGAATACAGCTAACAGTGGAAGTGAAGGACTTCTTCAAGGAGAACTACAAACCACTATTCAAAGAAATCAGAGATGACACAAACAAATGGAAAAACATTCCATGCTCATGGATAGAAGAATCAATATTGTGAAAATTGTCATACTGCCCAAAGCAATTTATGGATTAAATGCTATTTCCATTAAACTACCATTGACATTCTTCACAGAATTAAACTATTTTAAAATTCATATGGAATGAAAAAAGAGCTCATATAACCAAGACAATTCTAAGCAAAAAGAACAAAGCTGGAGGCATCACGCTGCCAGACTTCAAACTATACTACAAGGCTACAGTAACCAAAACAGCATGGTACTGGTACAAAAAACAGACACATAGACCAATGGAACAAAATGGAGAACTCAGAAGACCACACATCTACAACCACTAGAAGATATGAATCGCTTCTAAATTACAGGAAAAATCCAGGATTATCCCTAATATTCAATAAGTAATAAATATCCTCCAGAAATTGTTGTAGATTTATTCAGACTCAAACAAATGAAGAAATATCATTCCCCAACATATGAAGATATAATATTGTAAACATTCAATCCAATTTCCATTTTAGCAGATTTATAATGAGTCACAGCAGCTGGTAGCAACAGCCTTAAAAGACAAGACCACGCCCACAAATGATTGGACTAGTAGTGAACTCAAATAATACCAGCATACTACCTGGATATTTTAGTGTGAGCTCTTGACTAAGTAATATGAACCTATTCCAGTTAGGTGGAGGGAGAAGAAAGTTGGTCTTAATCTGGGTCTTGAGTTAGTGCAAGGAAGCTGAATCTACACAAAAACTGGATTTGAGGAAACAAGAATCATAGGTAAGCAAATAAAGTGGCTCTGCAGAGAAATCCAGGAGAATACAGAAGACTGAAAGTCAGGAACAGAAATAAAATACCATTCCATGCTATGAGAGATTAAGGAGTTGCCTCAATGCCTGTTTCCCCTTCAGGCCCTATGATGCACAGCATACTACTTTTTTTTTCTCCTTCGATATCAGTATTTCCTGTCCTACATATAGACTTAGAGTACCCCTCTTAGGCAGAGTTGGTAATGCTGATTCAGTTAGGAAAATAATCACAGATGTTGCAGAGTATTTATGTTCAAAGATATATATATAGCCAAATTATTTAATAGGAAAAAATAATTTAAGTCTGCAATAAGAGAAATGATTAAATTGCAGTATTCAGAATATCCGTACAAAGTAATGTTACACAACCAATAAAAACATATATTTATGACAGTTATATCTTCATACATGTATTCATGTTATATATTCACATATATTTATATGTCATATATAGGTTGAGTATCTCTTATCCAGAATGCTTGGGGCCAGAAATGCCTCTGATTTCAGATTTTTTGGATTTTGAAATATTTGTATATACATAATGAGGTACCTTGGGGATAGAAACCAAATCTAAACACAAAAATTATTTATGTTTCCTATATATTTTATACACATAGCTGAAGGCAATTTTATGTGATATTTCAAAAAATGTGTGCATGAAACAAAATTTGTATACAGTTAACCAACAGAAAGCAACGTCACTGTCTCGGCCACCCAGGTTTTTTGGCATCACTGTAATTCATGATTCTTAATTCATCTTCAGATAAGCAATCATTTTCTTACACTTATTAACCCATTAAATATTTAACAGTAAAACATATAGCATACCATTAATACAAGTGAAAAAATAATGTGTTCAGGGTAACTAAGCAGCACAGTAGCATCACCAAAATACCTTATCAGCTGTTAAACAACAGTGATGGCAAACAAGGGTAGCCTTTCAGTCTTCATCTGCAATGATGTGTTTTGATTAAAAGGTTACTGTACACTGTATTGTAACCCCCTTGGGGACACTGAATAAACTGTGTGTTGTGCACCTGTGTTTTCAATGAGACACATCACATGAGATCAGGTGTGGAATTTTTTACTTGTGGCACAAGGTCAGTGCTCATAAAGGTTTGGATTTGGGGACATTTTGGATTTTTGAATTAGAGATGCTCAACATGTATATGATATTGATGTATATATGTATCAAATGTGACATTGTATATTTATATATATATGACAATTATATATTCAATGACAATTCAGTTACACATATAGAAACTAATCTTATGGCGTGAAAAGAAAAAGCAGAATGTAAAACTGAAAGTAAATACGACACATTTATACATGCATTCTCATATGCCATCAGCCTCACTTGCCTAGGTCTTTATAATGTGATTATATGTTATTTCTACACACCAGCCAACCTGCCAGAAGGGCCCTTAAAGGTCTCTGAGTTATCTTTAAGAGTTTCTCATAGGGCAGTCTACCCACGCTCTGTAACAGGTTCTTCTTTGGCCTTTGTTGTGGACATTGTGTCTTGACCTCACTGTTGATGGACCTTGTGAGTTCTCCAGTCTTCAGAGACTCGCTGCCATCTACTGGTTATTGTTACCAGTTCTGCTCCTCTAGTCTTGGAGTTGGGTCCCGACTCTCACCAATACCCACAACATAATCATTCCAGATTTTAATAAGGCCTGGGAATAGTAGAACTACAGCACAAATTTGTTTCTATCAATGGCGGCTCCTTGTATTTAAAGCCTAAATATTACCTCATATCTGCTTTCTCACGAGGTCCCCATATACTAAACTAGTTCAACTTCCAGAAACAGTTTCTAGAAAGGTTCATATCTAAAGTCTGAACCCAAATGTACTACAGTTACAGAGAGAGGAGGAAGACATTTATGTGCCTGAAGTCCAGCGCCCATGAATATCCTGATCCAGGATGCAGGATGGTGGAAACATTTATCTCCTGCATAGGATATTTTCTCTCATAAGGAAAATGCATGGATTCCCATAACCTCCATAATTATAATATTTATGCTACTCTTTGCAAAGCCTACATCATTCAGTTTTAAATATTTTACTGTGGATGCAGCCCCATCCAGGTTGTGATCCCCTGGATTATAAAGTTAAGGTTTGATTAGGGTGACATGTCCTTCTGCCATGAGTGAATTCTTAATTTTTTAGTGACCAAATGCTTATATGATAGCACAGCATGCACTGAAGAATAAAAATGAATTTTATCATAGGGTAATCCAAATGTGGATTTGAGGAACAAAATATTTTCTAACTCTGTAAATGACAATCCTACCAAAAGAGCCAATTTATAACACTGCAAAAAACCACTAACACCTCAATCTGAAGCAAGTTTTCCCAGTAAAAGTACCAGCCAAATGCCTGATTAACTAAAAGATTTGCAAAAGTGGCCCTTTGTAGAAGGAAAATTCCCTTAAGGGAAATTTCTAGACTCAAAAACTGCTTACCATCCCCAAAATGATGTTATTCAAAATGAAACAATTTAAATTGCTCTCTTCAATGGTCATATGTGAACAGTGATTATCACTGGGTGATGAGATTTGCTTTTTAAACAATTTTCTATGTTTTAAAAATTTTCTATATTGAATGTGTATTATTAAAAATAAAATAGTTTTAAGAAGTCTATATTGGAGCTTATTTACCGTAATATATTGTAAATGAGTAATATAGCTGTTTGCCAAACTAGCTTATTAGTGGCTTGAACACCACTGACTTGATAAAGTTTTATTTTAAATGAAAAATTCTCATTCTGAAGAAAACCTGATGCTTCTATTAGTCGCATGATGATTACATCTGTAAGGATTCCAGTCAGAATTTATAGCAGTCAATAAACAAGCTCAAAACTCCTAAAAAGTAACGGATGAGATTGAATCTCATTTTCCCCTACTTAAATTAGAACATTATTAACTCTGTGTTGTTTGGAACTTAGGAGAAGGTTCATTTTATTTTTGTTTTTTAGGTTGTTAAAATCCAAGTAGAGTTAACTATTGAACTACAAATTGTTTTTTAAGGAAAAGTAATGGGTAATTTTATGGCATGGGCTTTGAGTTCATCACAAATTTTCAACACTAATGAAATTATTATATCCTTATGTTATCATTTTTGGTAACTTTTTTATATTGGGTTTAAGTAACCATCTTGGCAATAATTTCTAAGCTAATTAATTATATATGCCAACAGAGTTCAGTTTGATTTAGTTGTATATTCAATTCCCTTTTTATTGTGGTGGAACTAGGAAATAAACTCTAATTCAATTTTAAGTACAAATAATTAAATGAATTGGGCTTATGAATGAAATCTTCTCATTGGCAATGCCAGGAGGTCAATTAACTAGTTTTACAGTATTTCTGTGAACGAAAATGCATCTCCAATCGTGTGATAAATATTCGCTGTATAGGACTGAAAACACTGTTGATTTTATTAATCTTTCAGTTAGTCTGGAGTAGATATTTTCATTAGATTTACAGAAACCACTATACATTTTTGAAAGTAACATTTCTTAATATGAATTTGATGTGGAAGACTATCATCTCTTTTACTCGACCAAAATAAAACTCTTTGGAGACACTTTATTTTTATTTCGTTTTACTAAAGCAATGTTTGTTTAGGTTATGTTGTGAAGTATATACAAACCATGTGGATTTTGATACTGAAATTCAGTTCAAATGTATATCTTCTATAAACATTAAAAGAGCTCTTTCATAAATGTCCTAAAAACAGTGATTAGAATCGTGCCTGAAACAGCATGATTCTCTGATTCATTTGAGTTGTTTTAAAACAACTCACATAACATTATTGCCTTTGGACTCTTTCTTCTTTTCATCAGTTGAAATGTGTACTTTTAAATCATTTCTTAATTTAACTTTCTCACTTTTTTTTCAGTATGTAACTTGTCCATCCTTTTGCTGACCTTTATAAGTGGTTCTCTTTGTTATAAGAACAAAGTAACAGTGCCCTCTTACTTGATAATTATCAGGAAACTACAAGATCAAAGAAGGAATAGTTAATTTTATGTCTTCTTCTTTCTCTAAATCTTCTATGCTCTTTGATGTCACTCCTTATTGATCAGGAAAGAAAGTCTATCTCAAGTAGGGGTACGGGTCAGCAAACACAACTTCTGAGCTCAAAGACATCATTTAAAATAAAAATAGAGATTATTTTGTTACTGACTAGGATAACTACATATGTTTATTTTTTCTGTCAAACACATAGCAATCAGGAAATATTGAAATTATTTTCATTAAACCTCACATAATTTTTGCAATACAGTATTGAACTTGCTTATATTAATTAGCTGAGTACAAGTCCATTTCTTACAAAATATATTAGGCCAAAGCCTATAACCCCTATCTCCATTTTATAATTATCTATGCTTAGATAGTGAGCAAGGACTGAATTCATTGTCTTATGTTTTTTTTAGGTGCATTCTTTTGCATTAGTTAGCTATTTGTTCTGCTGGATAATTTCTATTAATTAAAGTTGGTAATCCCAGAAAATGAAGCCCAGTACATTCATCTCGAGTCATTATCGCCTTCTCTAAGTTTTGGATAATAAGCTCATCTGCCTCTTTGAAATGTCTCATGACTCAGCTGTTCAGAGAGATTGTCCATCTAAAGCAGAATGCATGAGATAATGAGACTCCTTTTCCACGTCATGGTGAAAGAGAACATTCTTTGTTTGCTTAGAAATGCTATCTAGAGATGAAATTATGCCTCTAATATTTTATGACCTGCCAATTTTCATTCAGGGTTACTGTTTTTTTTTTCACGTTATAGTCTAAGATTTATTATTAAACAATGAAACAGGTTAACACTACCATTTGGCTTTAATGTTTGACTACCGAAAAGCTAACCATTCATCAAATTTGTTTTTTAATTGTGGTTCCCTGGGTCACTCACACATATACATCGAAACAATTTATTAGTGTAAAGATTAATTGTGGTAATTTTATTGTCTTGGGATTAGATGAAGAGACCTTCAAAAACTCCTTTTGATGAAACAAGTAATAAAATGTAGAAACAGCGAGTTCTGTGGTTCAATATTTATATGTCTGTGCTAGAAGCTTTACATAAATTTGAAAACTTTTTGTAGGTATTTGCAGAGTGAAAATATGCCAATACTTCAGGCACACTTATAAGCCCCTCTTGTCTTCAGTCTGGTTGGCTACGTCCAATAAAGTTTGATTTCTCCTGAAGGACCATTATGGTTTATTGGCTTAATGAAGCAAATTGGAAAAAGAATTTGTGCAGCACCTTTTCTGTGCTCTGGGTGCTTTATAAAATTGCAGAGTACGTTTCAGTTTTAAGCAATTCCCAATGATTAGTTTATTTCCAGTGTGGCAAAACAGGACCTGAGAAAATAACTATGAGTATCTTGCACACATGCACATGCACAGACACACACATGCATGCACACTAGTTCCAGCACCTTCTGTAGAACATGTTAACTGCCTCAAAGAGAGTATCCTCCAAGCAATAGTGAACAGAGTATTACTTTCTGTCTTTGTAAATTTTCCAGGATATCATGATCAACCTAATTGTGTGGCGAATGGTTTTGGAGTCTGCTGATTAACATTTTATTATACAGGAGATCTCTAAAAGAGAGATTTGTCTCTTATCATGCTGATTCTTTCTCAAAATGAAGATTTTCACAGGTAGACCATTAGTGCCAGACACCTAAGAATTCTACTTTTCTTTATTAAAAACAGTATATAAAACAAAATTTTAAAAGACTTCTTCATTTACAGAAGGAAGATAAGAAGAGAACAATGTACAGGCCTGTTTAGTGTTTAGATGGAGTAGAAGAGATGAATCTGGAAAATGTCTGAATGTCCTTTCAGCAAACATGAATTGGAGTAGAATTCTGTCTTTTTTTTTGAGATGGAGTTTCACTCTTGTCACCCAGGCTGGAGTGCAGTGGCGTGATCTTGGCTCACTTCAACTTCTGCCTCCTGGGTTCAAGCAATTCTGCCTCAGCCTCCTGAATAGCTGGGATTACAGGCACGCCACACTATGCCCAACTAAGGGTTTTTTGGTGGGTTTTTTTGTATTTTTAGTAGAGACGGGGTTTCACCATGTTGGCCAGGCTGGTCCCAAGCTCCTGACCTCAGGTGATTCGCCCGCCTCAGCCTCCTGAAGTGCTGGGATTGTAAGTGTGAGCCACTGCTCCTGGCCTGGCCTCTCTTTTTTTAACAGACAAGGTCTTGCTCTGTTGCCCACGCTGGAGTAGCTGTGGCAAGATCATAGCTCATTGTAGCCTTTAACTCCTAGGCTTAAGCAATACTGCTGCCTCAGCTTCCCAAGCAGCTCTGACTACAGGTACACACCACCACACCCAACTAATTTATTTAATTTAATTTTTTTTTTTTTTTTTGAAATAAGGGGTCTTGCTATGTTGCTCAGGCTGGTCACAAACTTCTGGGCTCAAGTGATTCTCCTGTCTCAGCCTCCTAAAGTGCTGGGATTACAGGCGTGAGCCCCTGTGCCTGGCCTGTCCTCTCTTATTGATGGTTATGGTTTAAAAATACTGATTCTTATGTTCTCATTTGTAGCTAAAATAATACATTTAAAAGGATACTTTATTCCAATATTTTATAAATTTCCTTTTATAGGGTAGATTAAATAATTATAATCTGGTACTATTTAAGAGCCTCATATGTTCACTATTCCCTGAAAAAGTGAATAAAGTCTCTAAGTCTACTTATGAAGTTTATGGAAACACTTAACTTGAATTATGTGGCTAGGAACAAAATTAGAAGTGTATTGTTAAAAGATAATTTAAAAATAAAATTACAGTACATGCAAATATAAAATGGACATATGCCCAAGATTTTGACTCATTAATTAATGAGATAACCAGTAAGATGTTACAATTAATTCAGATGAATTTAAAGATATATATGAGCAATAAGGAAAGCTGAAATGAATGTACAAATACATGCAAAACTGCTGTGTCCACAAGGCAATAAAGAATTGCATTCCTCAGGACTCAGTCCATTAGCATTTCTACAGAGAGGAGTAATTTGCATTATTATCAGTTTTCTACAATTTACAGGGTTATAAAATAGCTCAAAGACAATGGAAGGCAGAGGTAACCAAGAAAGGCATACTAGACAGTACATCCAGCAGTGCTTTTGCATTTCTCAAAGCATTTCCCAATTTTTCCTGATAGTATTAATGCTGTTCACATTACTATCTTGCCACAAGCTTGTTCTTTAAGCAAAAGCCAGAAGATTTTTTTTATTATTTTTTATGAGTAAATATCTGAGAAAAATAATTTAGTTAAACCGCAACTAATAATTTAGGCCACCTATTAAAAACTATGATTCCAAGATGAATTGAATATGCTTTCTGTCATCTGAGACCATTTCTTTTATTTCAAGCAACAATGTCTGGTATGATATGTGCTATAAGTAATTTATAAAGTATTGAGTGAGTGTGGCAGAAATTTTGTCTTGAGAAGATTAGAGAGGGTGGCTTTTAGTGATGTTAAACATTTTACTTCATTGCACATGAACAAAGACCTTTTCTTACCATTCACATCTGATTCTCCTCATGCCTAACAGTTGGAACTGAAGATAAACTTTCCTCTCTGTGAGAGAAAACTGATTGAGTGTGCTGTGCTTCATCTTAATCATATGCATGAACTTTTCTTTTTGTTTTTGAGACAAGGTCTCATTTTGTCATCCAGGGTTGAGTACAATGGCATGATCATGGCTCATGCAGCTTTGACCTCCCAGGCTCAATCGATCTTCCTGCCTCAGCCTTCAGAGTAGCTGGGACTACAGGCATGTGCCATCATGCCTGGCCAATTTTTGCATTTTTTTGTAGAGATGGGGTTTTGCCATATTGTTCATGCTGGTCTCGAACTCCTGGGCTCAAGCCATCCGCCCACCTCGGCCTCCCAGAGTGCTGGGATTATGGGCACGAGCCACTGTGCCTGGTCCATATACATGAACTTTTAACAGAAAATTTAAGAGACCCTAAGTGGAGAATATACTAATTCAAAATATCATGTTCTAGAGATGTAGAAAAAAACTATAACTGAAAAATGAATGAAAAAAATATTTAAATTTTAGGGGTAGAAGGTGGAAAGCCCAATTTGAAGAAAGCGATGTGCAAACCTGGGATCAGACAAGTGCAAGAGAAGACATTGAGTGTATCCTGAATTAGTTTAGCAAAATTAAAAGTTATTTAAAATAGATTTTAGGATGTTACTGTAATTATTGATTTCATAAGAATATATTATATTTGTCTTGCTCTACAGAGTTTTACCTTGCATGTTAATATCAAAATTTATTATAGCAAACTTTGTTCATAACATTTTATTGAAACAAGGTTTGAAAGTTTCTTTGTTCATTTTCCTGAGCTCAAGGACCTACAAGGTAGGACATATAATAAATGAATCCTGTCCTACTTATCACTAGGGATAGTTGTTTCCTCAAGATATGTTCTTAGTAATAATAATTACAATTAAAAGAATCTCTGCCCTATTAAGTGTGCTTCTGAGGGACACTTTTTTATTTTAAAGCATAAAGCATTGTCCTATTCAGCAGAAGCCAAATCTAATACAGGTTGGTAAAATGTCCTGTATGCAGTTGTTTGGGATCTCTTTGTGTAGCATGTAATAAATTACCAAAATGGAATAAAGATAGCTGAGAAATTAATACTAGCTTTTGCTAAACTAGGGACAAACTTTAAAATGATGAATTATATATACTAATTAATTGGTACCCTTGCTTTTTAAAAATTCTGCAGTTGTAATCTATTGATTATTGGCTAAGTGTTATATAGAGATTAAGTCTTATTTCTCATCCTGCTATTTCCTACCTTTGCAACTTTCTTCTTGATGGAAAAGGGGCATCACTCCTAAATGAGATTTTTTAAAAATATTGAATCTTCAAATTTAAAGAGTAGAGCACAGGATTAAAGTGGAGAATTTTCGTAATCAGAGCTTTATTGAAAAGTTTAGTGTGTATAGGCATTGTAGATGTGTCTGTGGAATTTATGGACTCAGTTAAAAATTGTCACCTGATAAAAATGAAGTTAACTGTCTATTCAAATGATGAGATTTGCATCTACAGATATATTACTACCTAAAAGCCGAGGTTGCATATATTGCCGATGGACTCCTAGAATGAGTCAGGCATCTTTTAAATCTCAGTAAAATGATTGTTATCTTCCAGATACTATCTAAAATATCACCAATATAAGATTCCTCATCAATCACTTCTCAACCTTTTGACTAAGATCAAGTGTAATATCTATCTTTATCAGTTTAATATCTGAGATCTCCTTTATCTGAGGACAATATATTTAATGGATTTTTGGAACAGAGAGAAGGAATAGGAGCTTGTCCTGTCCACTCCATGCATTGACCTGGTATTGCAGGACCTCCAGAAACACCACCCCCTCCCCTCCCACACACATAAATTCTCACCAATCTTGAGGGAATGTTAAAATAAGATGTGCTTTGATTGGCTGATATTAAGGCATATTAGAAATGAAAGAACTGTAAAGAAGTAATTTATCTTCAAATTGGGAAGGCACTTCTATCTAGTGGATCTAAACGGCAACTAGAAAATTATATTCTGTAGCATAAAACTAACTTAATACTTGATATTAGACTCAGGAGACATGCATTGGGTACCGTGTTGCCTCTTGTTAATCATCTGTCTTTGGAAACATTGCTGAACTCTGTTCTCTTTCCTCATCTTTGAAATTAGGTTAATCACATGACAGGATAGTTGTGAGTAATAAATTAAATAACATCACCTATCCTAATGCCTGACACACAATAAATGCTTAATAAGTATTTATTGGCATTGCCTCTTGCTAGAGTCTGGTTGGAATGATACATGAAACAACTGAGTTCCTTTGCCATGATACTTTAATACACATTCTTATCTGTTTCACCACAGTAGAGGAGTGCCACTTCATATCATAGGGGAACAGATACTTGTGTCAGCAGTTGCTAGATAACACTAGAAAGTCTGGGTGAAATAGTAAAAAATACAGAGATGAATAGTTTAAGAAAAGCTTCTTAACTGATTCTGGTATAATTCCCTTTAATTAAATAATTGGCTTAACATAATTACCATCTTTTCTGAAGTATATTGATGACGAGAAGGTGGCCTGTGAATGAAATGCACAATTTTTTGACTCCAGAATTATTAAAGTATAAATTGCTAAACTATAATTGTGGATTATAAACTGATCACTGATCATCTTCAGATGAGTGATTAAAGATTCAAACCTGTAGATCTGAACACCCACAGCATCAAGGTGAAGTTGCGGGGGAACTGATTATTCTCTCATACTTCTTTATCTACATTTCTGTCCAGAAATGGACTGTACTCTTCCCTTGTAAATCCTCGCTGTCTAATCAAGCAGCCATTTCAAGCCAGAGACAGTCTTGGGCACACTACACAGTTTTGACGACTAAGTGACAACCTATCAGTGGAACAAGAAGCCTTTTCTTGAAGGCTACTTACTGGTTTCGAGCATAAAAAGGGAAAAGTTCAATGAGAGAGAACGAACTCCTAACTATGTTGTTCTTCTTGGGTGCATTGTATATGCTGAAAAGTTAATGCTGTTTTTAAAGTTAATTCATGATAATTGAACCGAAGTGCTCTGAAAGTGCTGTTAGAGTCTATTTATGAACCCAGTGCCCTCTTTGTCAATTCAGTAAAAGCACCGTTCAGTAAAAGAAAGGAGAGAGAGATGGCTGCATGGTGTGCACTTAGCCATATGTGCGTCCTTTCCCCGTAAAGTATCTGTTTTTCTAAGTGCTTTTTTTTCTTTTAATCTGTCTACCTCATTGAGTCAGCGGGGCTGCTAGTCCCATTATCACTCCACTTTGAGGACTGGGAAGGGCTGATAAATGTATTTTGGTCGTGATTTACCACAAATCACTTTTGTTGCTCTGAGGTGTAGGTCACTGTTGCAAGTATAGGTCAGCAAGAGGAGAGCACGTGGGACAAGTGAATTAAATAAATAAACTACCGTTTGGATGATCACACTGACAAATATTTTTAAACAAATATAATAGACAGTCTTTGTTAGCGTGTGGAATATATTAATCGTTTCCATGAGTGCTGTTGGGAGTGTGTCTTTCATATGAAGCATCAGCAATTCCATTTTATAATGGCAAAAAGTTGGTAACACCTTTATCTTCAACAATAGCCGGTTAATAGAAATTGAATTATGCTTTATTAAAATGAGAAAATACTAAGACACTTAAATGGTGATGTAAAATAATATTTAATTACATGGAAAATGGTCTCTGATAAATTAAGTGGAAAAGGAGAATACAAGATCATATTATATATTTTGTTCTAAAAAAGTATTTATCTATATGGAAGAAGGATTACCAGGATATGCATATGATATTAACAGTAATTTTTTGGTGATGAGATTTTAAATTTTTCTTATCTTTTTTGTTCTCTCTCTTTTTTTTTTTTTTTTTACTAAACATGAACTATAAGATATTGTAATAAAGTTTTAAGAAAATTGTTAAATAATTTTTTAAAAAGAGTATGTGCATGTCAAAGAAATCATGCTTGTGAATAAAAAGAAATTAGAAAGTATAAAAGGCTTATTTCAGTATTTCTAATTAATTACCCAACTATACTATATTGTTCCTAAGAATTGAACCTTTTGGAATCCTCTGAAAGTAAAACCATATTAAAGAAAGAAACATGGAGTAACCATGAGCATGTAGTTTGAAAAAGATACAGAAATCTCAGCTATGGGTAAAGGCTTAAAAAAAAATTGAATCCATGATGGCCTCTCATTCTGAAAATGACATCAGGCAGTATTTATTTGAAGCTAATAAATGAGAGTGTATTATTGTATGTAAAACTGTGTTTTAAATTGTTTGTAATATAAAATGTTTATAATATAAAATATTTCATGTACCAACAGAAAATCGCAGAAACAAATGCAACATTAGCTTGTGGGAGGAATTTGAAAGGTCCAGATGCTAGAATTGGCTGAGGCTCTTTGCAGCACCATCCATATAAAAGTGGATAGTCTGAGGGGTTTACACTAGTGATAATGGAAGGAACATGGAGTCAGAATGGCTTTCTATATACCTGTTGGCTTGTGTGATTTCTTTGGGCCTTGGTTTTTTAATCTTCAGATGGGAGAAAATAATACATACATATCAAAGTTGTTAAATAAAAAGCATATTTAAAGTGACTAGGAAAATGCTTGCCAAATAGCAGTGATTCAGTGAATATTAGTTCTGTACTTGAATTTGGAGTCTCCCTTGGTGACTCAAATTTAATTACTAAAAAGGCTAATGGCTTCAAAAGTAGCCATTTAAGAAAGTGAATTCACAGCAGGGAGAAAAACTCACAGAACTCCATGAACAGGTCTTGGGATATTTTATTCAATTTAAAACCAAAGGTCTATGAAACAGTGAGTTTTCAAATTTCTATCATTTGTTTGGGTTCATATTTGACTTGGTAAGTTCACCAGTGCGGATTCCTTTAGCTAAAGAACAAGTTGGATTTTCATCATAGAAACTTCATATTGAGTAGATTAACTTGATTGGCAGCCATTCTAAGGGAGAGATTCAGAAACAGAATAACAAGTCTGTGGCAATTTAAGACTAAACTACTGAATGAGGAAATTAGGATGGAATTTCGTCATGATGACATCTATTAGGCTTCCATAATCGTTATCTCAAGAAAAAAAAATCATACATCTTTTCAAGAGAATAATTGTTGTAGAGGAAAGGAAGTGCTAAAACAGTTTTATGAAATTACATTCTGAGGTGTTGTACAAAATAGTACTCTTTCTGAAATGTAATTTGCCTTTAAACTGTTCAGAAGAGTCTGAATGGTGATTGTTGCCTGAGTTTTTATCCAAAAGTTCAGTGATGGAGCAGCATCTGGGCTTAGTCCTATCTCTAGTGGCACATCCTGAGTGACTAAGACATAGATGTGAAAGCCTTTTCTGGGGTTACAGGGATCCAGTGGTTTCATTCAGCTTACAAAAGCAGAATCCTATTGGTTTCCAGTCTTACTTCTTTGAGTCTGTTTTGTTTTTAAATCATTGCAGCCTGCTGGGCGCGGTGGCTTACACCTGTAATCCGAGCACTTTGGGAGGCCAAGGCGGGAGGATCACCTATCAGGAGTTCGAGAGCAGCCTGGGCAACATGAGGAAACCTCATCTCTACTAAAAATACAAAAAATAGCTGGGCGTGATTCCAGCTACTTGGGGGGCTGAGGCAGGAGAATCACTTGAGCCCGGGAGGCACAGGTTGCAGTAAGCCGAGATCGTGCCATTGTGCTACAGCCTGGGCAACAAGAGCAAAATTCGGTCTCAAAAAAGAAAAAAAAAATCATTGCAGCCGAAATGTCCTTTTACCTGTTTCTAAGTCACAATAATTCTGAAATGATCATTTCACTAGCTACAACAGAAATATTCTCCAAAGCTTTCAAGCTAAAACAAAGCAGTTCTGTGATTGTAAAAAAAAAAAAAAAAGCTTTAAACATCTGAATTTGGTCAGGGAAAAGAGCACTCTGTAGTATCTTTTCAAGCTTGTAAGGCACATATAAATGAACGGTATTGGACATATGGAATTGTTCATTTTACGCAATACTTACTATCAGATGTTCTTAAATAACAGGATGAAGAACACATGCTTAATTAGCTCAATTGTCTATGGATAACTGTGTTGACGATCAACTTTTCTTTCAGTTTCCAGTTTAGGATGCCATATAATGCTTGTACATTCTGCATTAATAAAATTATCTAGCACCACTAACATCCTGCCACAGTGCATCGAAATATTTCTACTCAGCAACACTATTATCACTTAAAGCTGCAGGCAGACCTTAAACTACGATTTTGTAGGCTATATTTTGTGGACATTATATTCTACAATTTTATTCAATCATGAACACATTTTCTCAATGCTTTTATTTGATGAAACATAGCATTTAATATTATACATAATAGCGTTAGTAATTCTTATGGTCATCTAGTTATTGAATGACTGTTTTAGGTGTCATGAAGTCAAATGCTTATGATGTCAAAAGTAGGAAGAGTGATAACTGTTTTGAAGTAGAAAATGTGCGCCTACCACTCAGCTCCCAAGGATGCTGTGCAGCAACAGGGGCCTAATGCGTGCATGCATATTTGTTTCCCATTGCTGCTATGATAAATTTCCACAACTTTGATGGCTACACAAAACAAAACACCAGTTTATTATCTCATAGTTCTCAAAAGTGAGAAGTGTGAAATGGGTCTCAGTGAGCTGAAGCCAAGGTGTTGGCAGGGCCACATTCTTCCTGGAGGCTCTGAGGGAAAATCATTTCCTTACCTTGTACATCTTCTAGAGGCTGTCCACATTCCTTGGCTCTTGTACCCCTCCATCTTCTAAGTCAAACATGGTGTGTGAAGTCTTTGACCCTGCATCACCTGACACTGATTCTTCTGCCTCCCCCTTCCACATGTAAAGGACCCTTGTGCTATTACATTGGGCCTACCTGAGTAATCCAGGATAACCTTGTTATTTTAAAGTCAGTTTATTAACAACCTTAATTTCTCTTTGCCATGTGTGTTAGCATTTTCTAAAGACACAGAACCAATAGGATCTGTATAAATCTATATCAGAAGAGATTTATTATAGGAATTCTCTTACTTGGTTATGGAGGCTGAGAGATTCTCTTGTTTGCAAGCTGGAGAACCAGTAAAGCCAGGGGTGTTATTCAGTCCAAATATGGAAGCCTCAGAATCAGGAGCTGATGGTGTAAATCCTGTCCCAAGTCTGAAAGCCCAAGAGGCAGGAGCACTGGTGCTCAAGGGAAAGAGAGAATGGATGTCCCAGCTCAAAAAAAGAGAGTGAATATGCCTTTTCCACTTTTTTTGTTCTACTCAGGCCCTCAGTTTGTTAAATGATGCCCATCCACATTGGTGAAGGCGATCTTCTTTATTTAGGCCACTGATTAACTTACTATCTTCCAGGAGTACCCTCACAGACATACCTAGAAATAATGTTTTACCAGCTATCTAAGTATCCCTTATCCCAGTCAAGTTGACACATACAATTTACCATAACACCATGTAACATACCATATTCACAGGTCCTAAAGAGTAGGATGTGGACATTTTAAGCATTTAAGGCAATTATTCTGCCTATCACAGAATGCATTTCTATTTTTTGGAGAAGCTAGGATACCATATTTTAGGTGAAATCTCTGGATATTTAAATGTTTATGAGATACGTAGCATCTCAGTGGATCTGTTTTGGCCCATAGGCTGCCTGTTTATAGCCACTGGTATACTGCATGCCTGACTCTATGCAGAGTGTTTGTGTCTTCTCACTCATGGTTTTTAAATCTAATTGAGGAAGTAAACATTTAAAAATATCCATAAAACAATATTTTAACAACACAGTATAAGAAACATGATAGGGGGCTTTGGGAATGATCCTTGTAGGGTGAAGCAAGACAGGTCCTAAAAAATATGATGGATTTGGATGAGCAAAATGGAATTTAAAAGACATGTAAAAGATGTGGTAGTTGGGTGAAACAAGACTCTCAGCAAAGATGGGAAAGACCCTTGAGACATCAAAAGTCTGGCCTTGCTGGGTTAAGAGGAATGAAATTGAGGATCATTTATCTGATAAAATGAACCAAGTAATGTACAGTTTTCTATGCTTTCTTTAGAGTTTGGCTTTATTTCGCGAAGCAATAATTTTTTGTGGTAAGTTCTTGAGCCAGAGAAATAGTTGAATATAAGATAAGAATGTTTTTTAAAGAATTATCACAACAGAGATGAAAGCACAAAGGCCAGAAAGATGACTGTTTTGTTCTCCAGGTGTGCAATAATGAGAAAACTAGACTAGGGTTCTCAAGGTGGGTTGAAAAAAATCTGAAAAGACATTTCAAAGAAAGAATCAGCCAGACATGGTGAGTGACTGGCTGTGAGGAGTTAATGAGAAAAAAATAAATAATAAAAGTTCAGATATGGGTCTAGGAGCACAGAGGAATCATTGGTTGAGGTTTATAGATTTGGGTGATTAATGTCATTGAATTAAATTCATTTTTTTTTCCAAGAGAAAAGTATTTGAGGCCAAGAACCAAGCTTAATTTATCTTAAATAAAGAGATGCCTACATTAGATCAATGGGAAAAAGGTAAGGGAATAAAAGGGGAAGGAAGAGTGGAAATACCTTAACACAGCGTTCCAACACCCAAAAGAAGGGGAAGTTTTAGGGTGGAAAAAGAAGGATTCTGTGATAACAAATACATGTTTTTGCAGTGTGAAAATTGCTTGACTGATATGGAAATAGAGAAGGATAAAGAAAAATTGTTAAAAAGAGTTTGTATTGGAATTTGAGGCAGAAGTGAAATGTTATTTAAGGGAAAAAGATGAATTTCATGATTTTGCAAGCTTGAAATCCTTAAAAGATAGAAATAAAGGCCAGTAGAATGATGAAAAGCAATGTTCCTGAAGATAGAGTGGAGTAGACTTCTTTGAAGGGTCTATCAGGTCACAGTTTCATCAATGAGATGTGCTCATTTTACTCAGTTGAGCCAGTGAACCTCTTTTCTGCTTTATGACAATACTCTATTGACTACAGCAGATACTGACTGGCAGAATCTCTTTCCTAGAAATTTCTTATTGGGCCTGAGAAGTTTATTTATTTCTGTGGGTGACATAAAATGTAGCCGTATGTACTCAGGCTCTGAATGCACTGTGTGTATGCCCATCACAGCAATTAGAATAGCGGAAAAAAGAAAAAGCAAGAGGGGCATAAAGAAATCAGGGACTGACGGACAGGAAAGGACAGAGAGAGGCAGATATTGCCCAC
This sequence comes from Homo sapiens, assembly GCF_000001405.40. Lineage (NCBI taxonomy): Eukaryota > Metazoa > Chordata > Mammalia > Primates > Hominidae > Homo > Homo sapiens. The sequence continues at coordinate 168,482,804 of NC_000003.12, forward strand.
ATTCCTGCTGGCTTTCCTGTTTCTGCTCTGAGCTTCTTCTAAGGTTTCTCCCTTCTACTAGATTTCTATCATTATCCCATCATCTTCCCTGTACATCTTCTTTGATTAAACAAGGTTGAAGTGATTCTCTTATTTTTAATCAAAAGAGTAATAAATAAGACACTAGGAAAAGTTAAATCCAGAACACTGGCTGACATTTCGAGGGCACCTCTTCCTCAAGTAAGAAGGCAGTGGAGAGGATTGGCACAATGAATGATCTGGAAAACCAGAAAACCCAAAGTGGTACTTTGGAAGGCTCGTGTTCTTCACCCTATGATTAGTGCAAGCCTCAGTGTAGAGAATGCCACTTCTGAGAATCTCTCCTTAAACCACTACTCTGGCTGAAGTGCCCTTTCGATATGTTACTTCTAACATATTGCTGTGGATATTCCTATCACAGCACTTATTATACTATGTTTAAATTGTTGGTGAACTTATTTGGAGCAGACTCTAGACTTTAAGCTGTATAGAGTCAGGGATTATATATATTTGTTGAAATAATAATTCATATCTTCCCAGTGGAGACCAATACTTGTTCATTTTGCACAGTGCAAGCAAAGCCTCATTAAGTTAACACAGCTCTTCCCTGAAAAGTTTAGAGTAGAAATTTAGAGTTGATCCTTGCAATGTCATAAGAACATGCCTAAAGATTGTAAATATGTTGTTTAATCTGTTAGTTCAATGATGAAATGTTTAAAGATGTATTTAGGGATTTTGGGAAGTTGATGATTATGAAAAATAATTACTTTCAAAAGCTATCTAAAATGTTACTACATGATCATGTTAGGGTTCTAGATCTAAGTATAAATATGGAAGGCAAGGAAAAAGATGGAAGTTTCCTAATGAGTTATGATTGCTTTGGCAGAAATATTTTTAATAAGGAGTATAATGTACAGTTAGGGGAAAGTATGATAATAAAATCAAGGGAAGGAAAATAGCCATCCTATAAAATAGGTTGGGCACTTGACTAGTCTACACTAGTAGTTTCTAGATCAAGAAGTTTTTCCAAGCGGGTCTCCAAGCCCATTGGTACAACAAGAGATATTCACTTCTTTTAATGGTCTCAAAGAAATAAGCATGTAGTTCTTCACAATAAGGCCGGAGGCTTTTGATAGTAAGAAGAATATGTAATAGTGATGTTACTATGGACATAGTTCAAGTCTACTATGACTTTTTTTGGATTAAACTGTAAAAGAAATGGCAAACTTAAACATTTTTCCAAGGCTTGTCCATGCACTAGGCACTATGCTACAGGCCTTAGACAAATTTGCCATCTCATTAGAAGTAATTTTAGGAGAATTAAGCGTTTGAAAATAATTTTGAAGATGTAAAGTTTTTGATCCTTAAAATAAGAACACATTTATTCATTTGTACTCATATCATGCTTTATCTTTAACCTACACAGAAAAGCAGCCAACGTGTAACAGGGAGGCCACCATGTCATTCAGGTCAATGTTGACAGGTGTCAGATTCTCAGTCCTTCTTGGTCTTCCTGCACACACTTGAGCTATCTCAATCAATTCTTTCTCCTCATTGAAACCCATTCCATCATCTTCTGAACATATTGATCTTCAGTCATGCACATACTCATCATACTCTTCATGGTGTTTCTGCCTGCAGGCCTCTCCTTCTCATTATTTCTATATTGGTGACTCTGTCCTCACAGCTGATACCAATCATGCTTCTTACAAGTACATTTCAAAGGCATGGATTCTCTAGTGTTTCACTCACAGGAAAATAACACTGGTTTCTCTCCTTTGTGCCTGCAGTATAGATTCACTTAGCTGATTTAATTTGACTGTTAGTCAAAATTAAAAAAAAAACTTTTATAAAATTTCATGCATTTTCAACCCCTCCCCACATTCCCTTTTCACATTATACACAAGTGGAAAGAGAAGAGTTTCATATAAAGAACACACAGAACAATTGTACCACATAAAAAAGAAAGAATCAATATTAATCATGACCTGCAGTCATACTACCTTTGGCTATGATCATCTCTGAGCTCCAGAGAGGGGCTCAGCTGGCTGCATTTTTTAAAGGAGGACCCTGTGGGAGAGCCAAGAGGTGATCAGAAACACTTCTGGGGATTCTGCTTGTGACACTTCATGCTGGCAGTTCTGCAACACAGGCTTTCTTGAGAGATTATGTATGCTTACTGGATTGCTAGTAGAAATTCTCACAAGATTGTTCCTAGTCTATTGTGATCAGGGTAGATTGATTCTGCCTCACCTATTGGATAGATTCTTTAAAACATTGGGTCTAACTAGATTCAAGAAAAAATAATAGCAACAACAACAGTTAAACCTGATTGAAATGTTATGATGCAGCTGCTATGCAGCCTGCTTCATCTCATTAAATCCTCAAAAATGTAAATTAGCTTCTGTCCACATATTACAGGTGAGGAAGTTGTGGCTTAGAAAATTAAGAATCATACTTCATCAATTTTGAGATGCACATTTTTCACATTTTAACATCTTTGAAATTGGACTGCTTCTTAATATTGATGTGTCTCATGAAGATAACTGGCAGTTTTGTTTGATTTTTCTGAGTGACAGAAAAAATATTAGTGTATCTTAAATTCAATGATGGTTTAGGTTTTACAAAATATGGTATCTTGTCCAAGGTCATCCAATTAGCATGTGGCAGAACTGACTGGAAATCCCATGCTATGTTATCAAATGTTACACCTCCAAGAAAGGGAAACTAGAGACTAGTTGGAGGTGCCCCAGCTCATTAGAGGTAATATGTTCTTGAAGTGTTGACAATCTTTCCACTGGATGAGATGGCACTGATAAAAGATTTCTAAAGAACTTTCCTATTCTGGCCCCACTTTTTAGGGAGAGCAATTATGCAGGCTACAGGGAGCTATCTCAGTGGCTAGAGGGAGAGAATAACCTTGAAAATTTCTTTCAGTTTTCAGTCCTCATTCTCATATTTGATATGAAGATAAACAGAGGAACTTTGAGCCTCTTTGCATTCTTTCTTTTTACAATCTTGTGTTCTCTGAATTTTTTCTTCACTGTCTTCTATAGTCCTTAGCAGTCCTTGAATATACAGGTTATCCTCCCAGGATTTATAAGCTAATTAATCAATGACAAGTGCAGCCATCTCTTTGCTTAGGGACAGATTTCTGTTGCGTATTAGGAAATGTGTCCCAGAAGGCATTTATCTGTCTTTACTTGCCATTCATATTGAGGAGTGAGAATGAGAAAACCAATAAATGTTTTTTCCTCTTCTGTTTCGTCATCCTTTGTATGGTTTCTCATGTTTCACTGCCTCTTGTTTTAGTAGCACCTCAGAATGCCTGCCAGTCTGTTTTTGAGACAGTTTATTGGCTGTGATACTAAGAAACATACAACTTATGTTTCTTAACTTTTTTCCTGCTGTATTTGCCTTTCCAAATTAATACCACAAATGACAACTATTTAAAAAGTGGGAACTTGTCAAGAGAGCTGAGGAAAAAATAATGTAATCCAGACTTCTGTGATATAATGTTAATGAAATATTTTGGTATGCTGAAACCTCAATTTAATGTTGTCTTGGTAAGTGAAACTGTCTTGTAATGAGTATCTTTAAGTCACAAAAACTTTGGAAATGTTTCCAAAGATAATAAAAGTTCCATAACACCAAACTTCATCTTGGGACAAAATGTATATATAATTCCAAATACTTAATACTCTTTCTTCCAAGGATGAATCTCACTTCAGTTATGACCTCAAAGTTCTTTTTGCCCTTTGATAAAGGTAAATGCTAATCTTGGGAATCTTCCTATATATAACAGGGTGATTTGTCACAACATGGACAGTCTTAAGACCAGAAATTAGATACCAAATTCTATTACTCTTGTAACAGCTTTTTTAATCACAAGAAATTTTTCTATGATTTTTGAATTGTTTTAGATTTATTGTTTGCCTGGGATTTTTTTTTATCCTGGCTGCAAAAAGAAAAAGGTCAGATTTCCATTTAAAAGGAGTTTGTAAGTTTCCAAACAACAGAAGTTATTTCTTTATCCATTTTTCTCCTACCCGATTTGTACTTTCTCATCACTTGTTTGCCATCCAGTTAATGTACATCCAGTTTTGTTTTCTCACCTCTGTTGAGAAACGTGACTGAGCGATTAGTCCAATTTTATGCTATTATCTAACGCATCACACATATGTAATTGAAACAAAATGCTGTTGCATATAGACTTGTCTGAGTAGGTGCTTCAGTATTTTCTCACAAAGAGTTGGTATAAGCCTCTTTCCTCCAGAAACAAAGATCACTAGGCTCATCTATGTAATTTGTAAAACTAAGTGAAAAAAAGTGTAAGCCTACACTTGAAGGTGAGAAAGTCAGTCTCCTCTTCCCATAGTTAATGGACAGGTGATTTCCAAGGGATTGCCAGCTAGGGCACTAGACATCTGGATTCGGGGTGGACAAGAGTTGACTGCTGGCTGCATCATGGAACTGCCAGGCCACCTGACTGTGATGCATGCCTGATCAGCCTTCCTGTACCCACATCCAGGTCCTCCTTCTTCACCAGACCTAGACGCTGCCACCCTGTGTCTAGGGTAGTGGGCTGGAGGTGAGGCTGAGAGGAAGAAGGAAGAATTCGTCTATGGGAGGTGCTACAAATTGTGTGCCAGAACTCCAAGCTTCTGTTGCATGCATACTCCATTGGCCCCTTGGACTTTACTTACAAAGCACAAACTCAATTTCAAGATTACCACAGAGGAGAATATTAAGCCCATTTGCCACTGCACTGGTTGCAAGCCCACAAAGCCATCCCTAAAGATAACCACTATTTCTGTTGTGAACCACATATTTCAAGTACAGTATTATTTGCCTAATGTTTCAAATAGTTATTTATGAACATTTCTGCCCACTAGATTATAATCTATGGAGCAGTGTGATAAAATGAGTGATATCTTTCTTGGAATTTCTGTTATATTTTTGTAGCTGCTGCACTGCAAATAATAGGCTTATTAATTGGACAAGCACAGAAAACAAAAATATGTGACTCAAGGAATATTACTTAAACCAGATTTTCTAGTTTATTTAAATCAAGAATGGTATACTTACATGTACCATTTGCAAATATCTGCTTGAATGTTAAGTTGCTTTTCAGGTTTGACGGCACAGAAAGAGTGTAAGGAAGCTGATTATTGTCATCTGAGAGTGGTCCTGTGCTAATTGAGTGCTTTTCAACCCTCACTGCAGGTTGCAGTCACAATCATTTTGGAATTATTTTATAAACATTATGCATGGGCCCCTCACTCAGAGATTCTGATTTAATTGACAAGTAGATGAGGGCCTGGTCACTAATGCTTTTCAAAAGCTCATAGGAGAAAGGTGTATGAGGGGAGGGGTTGAAGCGTGTGTCAGTTTGGGTAGTCAGCTGGAGTGTCTATGCATGGCCTTTCCATGGGGCTTGGCCTTCTCAGAGCCTGGCAGTTGGGTTTTGAGAGAGTCTCCCAAGAGCAAATATTGCAAGAGACCCAGGTAGAAGCTGTGAGGCTTCCTGTGACCTAGCCTTAGAAATTCCAAAACATTCCTTCTGTCACATTCTATTTGTCAAGCAAGTCACTAAGGCCAAGCCAGATACATCAAGAGAGAAATTAAGTTCCACTTCTTGTTGGTGGAGTGTCGGGATCATATTAGAGAAAAGAGTGTGGGATGTAAAATATTGTTGCAGTTAGCTTTGAAAAATACAATCTGCCATGAAGTGTTATAGCCCTTTAAAGTCATTTTAGGCAGAACTACAATATTAAGGGGAAAAAAGTCAAGGAAATAGCTCAAGATGGGGTTTGTTCTCATTATGTTTGAATTCACTAGCTAGGCTTTTAAGAGTTACCAGCTTGTGATTTCTAACTCTGATTGTAAAAAGTCTATTCATTTTTAAATTTTTTTGTGATGGTAAAGTTACATTGCTGAGTTATAAAAAATGAAAGCAATGCTAAATTAAATAGCAAAATCTCTTTATGCTACTATATTTTCCTTCCCAGCTCTACTTCAATAAAGGTAATATATAAAATCTAGGATTTGGAAGAATAGTCAATTTAACTCCCTAACTTTATGTTTGTGTATTCAAAAATATGGAACACTGAAAAGCCTAAATTTTATCAAATCTTACCTTGGCTTGACCTCTTGGTAATTACTGCATCAATTAGGGTATTCATTAATTCTTTGTTGAACTTGATTCGTTACAGCCACCAGGTTTATTTAGCAACAGGTATTCACCCACACTTGCCTGGCTTCATGTCTTTCCTGGGCATGGTATTGTTCTGGAACTTTACAGAGGAAGACACATTTAGGTTCAGTCTTTAGAATCGCAGTGGTATTGTTTTGATGCTACAAATGTTTATTCAAAGTTAGAGAACAGTAACATAAAGTTTTCTCATTCAGCATATGTATAATATCTATTGAGCAACCTAAACTTATTTAGGCAACCTAAAATGAGTGTACAGTACATATAATATGCAGATATTTTATGTGACTCTAAGGAGTATTCATCTTTGGTGAGAGCACACTCAGCAGTATTAAATGAGGGATACAGAAGCATCTGTGCCTTCATTTTATCATACAGAAATTTACACTTATCTCATATTTTCTTTCCAAGAACTATGAGCTATAATTAGTAGTGGAATCCTTGGCATAGATCACTAGGCCAGTCTTGAAGTATAAGTTGGCACATTCATTTCAGTGGCAGAGATTCAGCCATAAGGAAGAATCATGAAATTATGTGTACTTGAAAGCAGTCAGAGTTACTGATGCAGTGTAGAGGTGTTAATCTCTTACTATTCTGAACATTTTTTTTTCTAAGAGGTTCTCCTCATACATTGCCACATGATCTTAATATTTTTATTTGCCTTTTTAAAAAGAAATAATCATCAGTACTCCTCAGTTTCCCTTCATCTTGACATCTCTTTGACTTTTATAAATGCAAGGATGAACACCTTCCTACTCCCCACTTTTCAGTGTGCTCCTAAGTGAAGGACCACCTCCTTCAATACTACTCAGTACTCACAGAAAAGTAGGTCCTTAGACCTACTCTACAACTATAGAATCAGTAAAATGCTGACAAATCTGCATTTCAACAAGTTTCCCAGGTGATTCTCGCAAGAAATTTTGAGACTCGCTGCCCTAGTGTCTTGCTACCTTACATGCAGTCTTAGGACCAGTAGAGGGGACATCCTTTGGGAGCTTATTAGAAACGCAGAATCTCAGGCCCCATCTCACACCTACTGGATCAGAACCTGTATTTTAACAAAATGCCCCAGTGATTGGTATGCACTTAATGTATGAGACATGCTGATGTGGAGAGAAAGTTAAGTCCAGATTCCTAAGCATGTCAAATGTGGCTCAACATGTTTACTTCCTGTGTGTCCAGCTCCTCCTTCTGCCCCCACATGGGGGACATTCTACCTGAACCATTCACCCTATGAAGATAAGCCTTTTAAAATTGCAGATATGCTACCAATTTTGAGCTACAAAATAGAAATTTCCTATGGCTCAACATAAATGTGTGCAGTTCCTTTTATTAAGGGTTACTATTTCATGGTTCCTTTTATTTATTTATTTTTTATTTATTTATTTTTTTGAGACAGAGTCTCGCTCTGTCGCCCAGGCTGGAGTGCAGTGGTGTGATCTCGGCTCACTGCAAGCTCCGACTCCCGGGTTCATGCCATTCTCCTGCCTCAGCCTCCCGAGTAGCTGGGACTACAGGCGCCCGCCACCACGCCCGGCTAATTTTTTGTATTTTTAGTAGAGACGGGGTTTCATCGTGTTAGCCAGGATGGTCTCAATCTCCTGACTTTATGATCCGCCTGCCTCGGCCTCCCAAAGTGCTGAGACTACAGGTGTGAGCCACCGTGCCCGGCCATATTTCACATTTTCCTATTTTAACTGTATTCTCTGACTCAACAAATCTACTACTAATGATGGAAGCTTTTATTATGATTTCCCTTATAATAATACCAAAACAGAATAAAAATATATTTTCTAAATTTTAATATAAATAAAAGTGATATATAAGCACACTTGCATCATGCAAATTTTATGTTCCTACATTGCAGCTAATTATGGTCTTAGTTAACAAAATTATGTCTTTAAGGGAAATGTCCATGTTTCTGAGGTTTGAAGCCTATGGTATATTCTTTTTATGAAATGGCAGCTCTTCTTAAGATGATGATAGGCATCCCTACATTTACTAATTTTGTAACTTTATTGTGTTGCTGCCTCTACTGATAAAGGAGAGGGTTGGCAGGTCACCCCTGATTTTATTCCAGAAGAAATAGGAAACTAGAGAACAGCTTTACATCTCAAGTTTTTCTGCTGCGATATAACTATGACAAAGACCACAGCTTGGATAGGTTTCAGTTTGGCTAGAGAATGCATACTTCACATATGCTCTTTGACTTTGGCAATGTTATCTCTCAGGATTTTCCTTTTGGATGGCAGGTTTTTTTTCAGATGAATATATTCTTCATGAAAATGAGATCTTAATAAATCTTTAACTCCAATACTGCAAAATCACACATATACTATATTTATGAAAAAAAACTGTGAGAAGTTTTCACTGTATACCAAATACTAACAGATAAATTTATCCAAATTGCCTGGCCAGAGAATATCTGAACAATTCAGATTATCCACTTCAATAAATAAAAACTTTTATTATTTTTTCTGCTTATGAAAGTAATGTTTGTTTCTTATACACACTATAAATCCATCAGTGATATAGGGGAAAGTTCAAGCTCATAGTAATAATCATTGTAAATATTTTATCATATATTCTTTCAGATTTATTTTTCTGCAAATACTGTGTTATATATGTTATGATCTATATAAAGCATGAACAACTAGTACTAATGCACTGGAGGGAATCTACATATTTCCAGAATAGAGCTACAAAGCAGTTTTGATCAATGGTCATGCTATATATTGGCCGTAACATGCTCCTGAAGGGAAGGGAATGTACTGTTTTTCTCTTTGTGTTTTGCATGCATATAACTGTTATAAGTGTTTTACTAATATATACTATGAGCAGTAAAATATTAGAAATCAATGTAGTATTAAATGAAATGCTTACCCCAGTGTTTCATTTAATTCTGTTATCTTTGTCTGAAACATTAAGAAGTTTTAATGTTTATCCTTTTTCATGAACAAATGATTTGTATACTTTTTGAAAAATTATTAGTTATTTTTCTTACTGATTTGAGAAGAAAAGTTCTAAATTGAGAACACTAATGCTCTAGTGTCCCTTCAAAAATATTCTTTCTAAGGAAAGAAGTAGAAACTAATGTTTACTTTGTAGTGGGCTTTATTAAGCAAGAAACTATCACTTAGTCTTTTTCACTCTTATATTTTGAATTTAATTCTTTTTACCTTGAGAATAGCTTAATTTATTCATGTTTGGGTGTTTTTCAATATTTATGAGTTTATATTCTGGTTGTTTAATTTTTTCAATATTTTGAGTTACCACAAGTAAAAACCTCCAATCTTCATTTCCTCTTCCAAGATATGTGTGACTTACAGAAAATCTATTAAACTGACTAATGAATACAGCCATACACACACACACACACACACACACACACACACACACACACACACACATACACACACACACACACCAAGTTCAGGGTCAAGGCTTAAATATCACAATTGATCAAACTTAATGAGGATAAGGCATTTGAGACACTTGAATGGAGGATGCTATTCATAGTTCCAATGCTTATATGATAATTATGAAAGGGAGACCCAAATGCCCTTTATCTGTGAAATTCTTTAAAGAAGGGGAAAATCAAGTTATTATTCTAGTATGATATTGTTCTTTAAGATGAGTCTTAAAATGGACTGTTCATATTAATTATCCTGGAAAACTTTTGAAATGCTATTCATCAGTAGCTTTGGACTAGATTTAAAGCTTGGATCAAGGTCAAGGATAAAATTACTTTGCCTAGCAAGATTATTACCTTTGTGACTGGAATTTGACAGATGCTAAGTATTTTTACTTGAGATTCTTTGTGTTTTTATTTCCTTCTGTTTAAGAAACAAAAATGGAAACTATTTTACCCCCTTTCTAGGACTATATGCTTTATATTCTGAAGTGTCAGAGGCAAAGTTCATCTGTCTTTACATGTACCTTTTACGTCTTAGTAGCTCAATTTATGAGAATATGAATGAATGCAATAATAGTCATGTCCCTTGTAATCTTTGTGTAATTTGGAGATTAAAGACCACTGCAACACAGGATGTTTCACTGATGTCTTGATATCTACCATGAAGAAGGTGTGTGGCTTTTTAAACATAATAAAAAGAGAGGACAAAACTTCTCTATTGAGAAGTTTTAAATTTAGACTTATAAAAGCTTAAATTTAAAAATTTTAAACTTTAAATTTGAAGTTATAAATTTAGGAGACACCAAAAGATAGGCTTCATTGACATCACCTCTGCTGACATCACCTCAGCAGAAAGAATAAAGGAAGAAGGAACCAGGTGAAGTACCAAGACTAGGGGCAGTCTGACACCTAAAGCTCTGACAGAAGAGGAAAGTTCAGCAAGGGCCACACAACTACAAATGCATTTTTATCCCTACTTGTTGAGTTTAAGGATGACTTTTCATTAAGCACTGAGATAGGAGAAAAATCAGAAGATTATTCTGTCATAGAAACCAACAGAAAAAAATATTTCAATAAAGAGAAGATGGCCAACAGTATTGGCTGCTGCTGACTATGAGGGCTTGGTAAAAGTAGGTTCAGTGGAGTGGAGGGAACTGAAACCTGATTACAGGAGAGTGAATGGGAGGCAATATAATGCAAATGCAAGGATAGAACACTCTTTTGATAGGTGTTATTGAGAAGGTGGAACAGAGAAGGGCAGTGGTCAAGAAGGAAGAATGAGAGGACTAGAAATAGGTTTTCTAAAAAAGAGACCTTTGAACATGTTTTGATGCTAATGGAAAAATTCCAGCTTAAAAGAAAAAATAAAAAACAATGATGATAGATGGAGAGGAGATGATTTCAGCAGTAATGTTCCCAAGAGGTGTGTTTGGGTAGAAAACATGATGAGCCCAGCTAAAGGGCTCAGACTTTCATCCAAGCAGGGGCAAGGTGTGTCTTCCACAGAAGGAAGGCAAATAATGTGGGCACAGATGCAGAATACCTAGCAGGTTTAATAATGAGAAAATGGAAATGTTCCTGCTCTTTTGCATCTATTTTTTCCTCATGAACTATGAGACACTGAGAATGACAAGGATGGTTGAGGAGGTGGGTGTGTTGGAAGGTAGAACAGAGAAGTACTAAAATGATTAATCCTACCTATCTTTTAGGGGTGTAGTTTAAAGGAAATCTCTCAGGTTATCACCAATGAACCATACTTAACAGATAAGGAAATATGGAATAATAGCAAACTATAAGAGTGCCCAATGCTAATGATAAAGAGTAAGCAATACTGTATAGTAGTTTTATTCTCTCAAGTCTGACTGATGCATTTCCATTGCTTCTTAGCAGAAGTAACTATTTTTAAACATTGAAAATTATGGACACTATTTATTGTGGCTTTCTTTGAAGAGAAATCTCTAAAATAAGTGAGAAGATTTTCAGTATTAGTCTTTGAGTGAGTTTATTGAAACCAATAAAATATTCCTTTTTTGTGGGAAGGTGTTTCAATTTGCCTTTTTCCTCCCCATAAATAAGGAGTGATCACCCCATTCAGAATGAATGTAAGGTAGCTTGTAAAATATCTATGTTTGGGGCAATAAAACTCACCTAGAATGATCTTGTGCCTCTGCTTCCTCAACTCATTTTCTTCTTTCAGCTGTGCAGAACGTTAATTGTGTGAAGGCCACAAGGAGGGGACACAGCTTGCCCTTAGAAGTACTTTTGAGGACAGATTTTATCATGCTTGATAAAAATGCCTATTCTACAACATAGTCTATGATCATGAAAAGAGATCCTTCTGATCTTATAGTTTCTTCCGTGTGGGTGTCGCATGTTCCTGGATAACTCTAAGAAAGTAAGGTCAACTCTGGCTGGAAATAATGCTCTGTTGTGTTTTCATTGTTCTTGTTTGCTCATCTACTAATTGACAGCAATAAGCTAAACCTGGGTTTTGAATAATTAGAGGAAAAAAGTTATAGGCCAAAAATTTATACCACCTAGAAATATGTGTACATATTTATTATGCGTTTCCTTTTCTCCTTGGTGTTGGTCATCTAAGAATGACCTTTTACTATAAAGTACGATTTCCTTCTTAACATTATAAGCATTTATAAAGTCTGTGTATTTTCATTTTAACTTTCTTAAATTACAGACAAATAGCTTGAGGATTTAAAAATTACATTATTTAGTGCAACACAAAAAATGAGGAATCAGGTATTGTTGAAATTTGAAATCAAAGAAATACAGATTTCAAATGACTTAGTACTTTTTATTTAAGTTTAAAATATTTTTGAGAGCTTATTTATGATTTACAAGTTGAGAGTAATGGAAATAAGCAAGTTTAACTTTGCAGAAATCTAAAATCTGTATCCCCTGAAGAACAAACATCTAAAATGTTGAAACAGTACCTAGGTACACAGAATAAAGTGAATATAATCATAAATTTTAAAGACTTGTAGACTGGAGCCAATTTGTAAAACATTTCTGAGTCATCAGTGATCTCATTAAAATGCAGACTCACACACGGTGTTATAATAATATGCATTTTAGCATCAACTTCGTATGCCTCCATCTCTGTTATTCTCATCTACAAGACAGTTTAAAATATAAAATTATATATTTTTTACTTAATTATGTCTTAGTATTAGAATGTTTTGTTATTTGTTAATACATATCCTCATCATACGTATACATATCATGTGCATGCTCTTTGGAGATATAATAGTTGATAAATCTAAGAAATATAAATATGTACAGTACCTATTATTAATGTATACCTGCCAGTGTATATTTATGATACATGATATTTTTCTTTGCTCTTTTAGAATGATTGATTTTTGTCTCTATGTAGCTTTTATGGTTAGATTGAGTGATGATTTTCTCTCTCAGAGGTATCAGTGGAAACATTTCTAACTGCCTGAGGCAGTCATATGCCACAGCTGGCACCATATTTAAACTACTTTTCCACGTAAGTGCATAATTTGGTCACCTGGTGATAAGCAGCAAAAAGCTACAAAAGGAGATTTTCCAAAAAAAACAAAAAGTTTTATTTTTAGTGGGCTAATTCTGCACTTTTGTCAATTAGGCCTTTCAAGGTAGATAAAAACATTTGTTTGCAAATTAAATAAGTCAGCAAATTTCAGCAAGACTCAGCAAAACTCTGAATGCCATTTTCTAAAGATGCAGTCATATACTTGTTAGGCGTAGACAATCAGATACTCTCTATGACATTTAGTGGCTCCCCAGATATTGAAAACCTTTTAAGTCAAAGAAAAAGCAACACTATTGGCTAAAGGAAAGTCAAGACAATAACAAATGAAATGAAAATATTAAAAACATTACGTAAATAATTATTCTTTTTTTTTTGAGATGGAGTCTCGGCTTTGTTGCACAGGCTGGAGTGTAGTGGCACGATCTTGGCTCACTGCAGCCTCTTCCTACAGGGTTCAAATGATTCTCCTGCCTCAGCCTCCCAAGAAGCTGGGATTACAGGTGCCCGCCACCACGCCTGGCTAATGTTTGTATTTTTTAGTAAAGATGGGATTTCATCATGTTGGCCAGGCTGGTTTCAAACTCCTAACCTCAGGTTATCTGCCTGCCTTGGCCCCCCAAAGTGCTAAGATTATAGGCATGAGCCACTGCACCCGGCCAAAACATGACATAAATAATTGTTCAAAAAGATATATTCTGGAGAAAAAAGAAGATGGGACAGATAATTTAAATTGGTAAATCTTTTTATTTTATATTCAAATTTATATTTTTCATTATTTATGTATTCATTTTTATTTCAATGTCCAGTTCTGATTTACTTGTTCCTTAAGGATAAATTTCTTAATGAAATGACAGGTATATTTGCTCTGAGTTACTACGATATCAATAGTTTAAACACAGAATGATTTAGTAAAAAACCAGACATCCATTTATAGTAACACTTTGGAATTACCTTAAAAATCTATTTTTAATGTTTTATATTTTTAAAATTACTGCCTATTTCTTAAGAATGTCATCAAAACATGTTCTATTCCAACGACAAAAAATATGAAAGTATTTATAGTGACACTTTGCCAAACCACTGTCTAATCTGATTAATTCCCTTGCTTTCCCAATATTGTTTTTGCTAGGATACAGAAAGCCTACTTTCATACCTCTGCTAACCTTTGTGATACTATTAACTCTTAACCTGTTTTGGAGCCTGTTCTTTAGGTTCCCTACTTTCTGCTTATTAATTTTTGCTTCCAAAATAAAAGGATACTCTCCTGTAATGAATATTTGTATCCTTGAAAAAACACGTATGCACAATTCAAGGCATCAGCAGATAAACGTGTTTGTCCCCATGGAAGCCAGTGGAATGATTTGTTGCCCCTCTTCCCGTCTGTCCCCACAAATTATGCTATGTTGGAAGCTGCTACTTTTGCTTGTGCAGCTTGACCCTATGTCTCTCTACAGAGAATTGAACTGTCAGCCTTTGAAATAACAGAATAATTTAGGTGATGAGGTTTTATTTTTTTTTTCTTCCTCGAGGACCATACTGAAAAACATACTACTTTATATAGAGATAAACCCTGTATTCTGTAACAATGGTAAGAACAGTGCCTCTTTCAAAATGGCATTTATGAGATAAGTGAATTGTTCATGTAATAAATTTGAGATAGAAGTTTCTCTCAGAAATATTAATTGCAACAAGATAATTAAGCTTTCCGGGGATCAGAAGATTGAGAGAAATAGGATAATTTTGGATTCTAGGTAGATAGTGAAAAATTACTTGTAAAAAAGAATTATGATTATTTTTATTGGGATAAGAAAATAAGATGCTGGACTGGAGGTCACTGAATAGCATTATTTTTAGGAAATGTTAATTCATACCCTGAGTTTTGGAAAAGACCCAGAAGTGGTAGTCAATTTGCTACACATGTCCTCCAAATGTTCCCAGATGCCCAGTGGGGGGTATAATCTACAAATATGGGGTGACCAGGCTAGCTCTCAGCTGGTGGTTGATATAGTTCATTCAGCTGGGCCAGCTGTTTATCAGGCTAAAAATAAAAAGAAGAGTGCATTTAAAGAGACAAAGGACTCAGTAAGAGCTAATAAGAATTCAAGGTAATGTCGACTTTTCAAATATTTAGGGGAAGGCCGACACAGCCCAGTTAATGCCAAGTTTCAATAGCACATTCAATCCAGGCACAGGTTAAGCATTTTGGGCTCTCTGCTTGCTTCAGGGGAAGTGGTACAAGGCTTTAGACATTCAGGTTTCATGGAGCCTGAAGCCAATACAATGCAAAAGACTTTAGTAAAAGTAATACAAAATTATGAATACATAATTAGTTTCAGGGCCTTGGATGGGGCTCAGAAGTGAGGAGGACTGAACTGTAAGTTTCAGAAGCCTCCTGGTAAATTTGCCTCTGAAAGCAGAAATGGTACCCCTGTCAGTTTCAAGGGCAGGCCTTCCAGAAGGAGTAAGAGCTGTAGCAATCAGGTAAGGTGTGGACTAAAGATAGAACAGTGGCAGCAAGGACTAAATGTTAGAGTCACCTGGGAGACTTTTAAATAAAACATTTCTATGCTCCAGATTTCTAGAGATTAATACCCAAATTGTCTGGGATGGTGCCAGGTTATTGACATTATTTAGCTCTTGTCCCTCCTGTAATTCTAAAATGCAGCCAACGTTTAAAGCTACTGATAGTTAATAATAATTGTGGTGAAGATAATTTTGGAGCTACCATATAGGGAACATCTCATACCAAGTGTGAGATGGCACTGTATCAAACACTTTATAGGAATTATCTTCTTAATACTCATGACCTGCAGAGATATGTGTATCTCCCCATCTTAACAAGGAGGATTCTGAGCTCCAGGGAAGTGCCTTAGCTCATACAGCAAGTGCAGGAACCTGGATCTAAACTCTAGCCAGGCCTGGCTCATTTTATACCCACATATTTCTACCTCCTTAGGTAGTAGCATCTTTGAGAGGGCCACAGAAAAAGCACAAGCCCTCACAGAAAGAACCAGACAGCTGATTGTCTACCACTAGGGCAATTTGTAAGGATTGTCTGCCAAAGAAGTCCTGGGAAGTCCAGGAACCTCCACACATACCTGCAGAGACAGAGGTCACTGTTACCATATCTGGATGTCAAAAAGGTCTTTTGGAAACCAAGGTTTTATCCTTTTTTTGTTCTTCCCCTCATCTCCTCACCCCCAACACCAAGGGTTAAATTCAACATCAGTAGCTGTGGCACAAGTCCTCCTAACACCTTTTGTCCTCATTCACCCCGTCACTTTTGCTGCTCACAAAGTGCTCCTTGCTCCCTGGGTAGATACTACTACCCCTGTCTGTAGGTTTCTTTTTTTTCCTCCATTAATGCTTTCCTTGCCCCCTGCCCCCGCTTCTTCCTATGCATCATCTGTAGCCTACTGAAGTGTGTTTTTATATACCTGTGTATACCCGGATATACACATTGGGAAATGCTTCCCAATTCCTGGCTTAAACTCTTGTGCTCCATTACTCATTTACCAAATAGAAGTGTCTTCAGCTGCACTTAATTTCAAATTCCTTGGTCATGTTTCGGTACCTCCCTTTCTCCTGATAAGTGGGAAATTTCATAGCCTGGGAACTGAATGGGTCCATACTAGCCCAGGTACAATTTGAGAAGCTTAATATCATAATGCACTTAAAATAACCTGCAGCAATCGAACACCAATCTGTACCTTTATAGGAAGTTTATGCACCATGGTTTACCCCATCTAGCTGGAAGTTGGCTTCAAAATCAGCCAGGCTCCCCATTGGCCCATAAAATTAGTGGTGTCCATGCAAGGTTCCTAACTTGTCTGGACATGGGATAATTCCCACGGTAGCTGTGACTTGGTGATTTGCTCTGGTTCCCTTCTCCCCGAATAAATAGGCAGGTGAAATGCAGAGGAAGGAGCATGGGAGGTAGAGCCAAAGTCTGGCATTCAAATCCAGCTCCATTGCTTTCTAGTTATGAGACCTTGTATAAGTTAGTCACTCTGTCATCTCCTGTATAAAATTGAAATGAAATGCCTACCTGATATAATTTTTATGTGTGGTAACATGAAAAACTCTTTTGAAATGTGATTGGCACGTGGGGATGCCTAATATATTTTTATATATGGTTTTTAAATAAAGATGCTTCCCTTTCTCAAGAATGTGTCTATCATTATAATTCTTTCACAGACACCCCCTTTTCTGGAAAAGCCTTTTAAAAATTTTTCATAACCCTGGTTATACTCATTTTGTGTGATTCCAATAAGCTGTTAGAAAAAGCAGAGCATGTTGTTTAAGGTGTAGAGATTCCAGATATTACTAAGTTTTCTCTCCCTGCCTGCTGATTTCAGGTTCAGAGTCAACCCTAATACATAAATTAAGAGAAATCATTAGAAAATATCTCGAACCCTCCCTTCTTGTTAGTGTAACATGTGTTCAGTCAGTACTAATTTATGCATGACATTAAATTTCTTTCCTCTGTACTGAAAATGTGCTCTTTTATTGCTTTCAGGCAATTGATTAAATTCAGAAACACTTATATTCTATCCTGTATAGAGAATAGAAATAAAAATATGTGATACTTTTGTATCATATATATATATATATATATTCTAGGAAAAGATGAAAGGGAAAGTAATGTATATTTTACATATCAACGCATTCATAGATCAGCAAATTGTTATTGAGTGCATACTCTGTGCCAGGAACCATTCTGGGTATTAGGGACATAGCAAAAACTAAACCAGACAGAAATTGTGGACCTCATCTAACATAAGTTTTACAATTAATAGAGTGAAACATGAAAATAGATTTTTCCCTTATTTTCAGTTCACACATATCATGACCAGTTAGCTTGTATTTGTTTTTTTTGCTGTTGTTTTATAACATGCTTTTATGTAGTTTATCTAATTAAATCCTCGTAGCAAATTTAAAATAGGTTAGGTAGATTATGCTTAACCAATTCTGTATTAGAGGAAAGGCAAGCATGGGGTAGCCTAAGTTTGCTGGGAGTACCCAGCAAAGCCAGTGGTAACGTTTACCATGGATTTCAGATCCTCCAATATTTGGTGACTTCCACTTTCCACTTCTTCTATAATCCTCATGTTAATATTCATTCCCCTCTTCATGATTTAACACTATATACAATTCCCAGGAGGAAAATGTGGTAGAAATCTATTTTTCCTTGCTTTGCCACACTGAACTACAAAAGGTGCAATTATATTCATCCTAATTTATCCATGTAAGTATAAGCATTCTAGAGGAGGAATAAAAACAAAGTTAGTTGTATTAATAAAGCATTATTATACATCTGGCAGTAGCTTACATCTTATATGTATATATTTTTAAATTTTGTTCTGGCTTTTTAGTGACCTAAGGACAAGAATGTTGTATTAACCACATAGGCAGTTTGAGTTTAGTCTCAACCTAGACTTTTATTTTCTGCTGTTAGTTTTACTACTAGCATAATACTCAACTGTTTGACTTTTCCTCATATATAACTTCAGTGATCTATTTCATCATGGTTAACGTTAAATAAGTATCTGTAGGTATACAGATGTTTCCTCAAGGAGAGAATGATGATGATGGTGATGATTATAATCTTTTTGAAATATATATTGCATTAAAGCATTTTTCCTAATAATCCTTTTACGAACTATCTCATAGATGCATTTCAGCAGAGAATCTCTGGACTGATGGAGAGACACTTTTATCTGTAGAACAATAGTGACTTCTGTTATTAGGAGCAATTGCTAAGCAGCTAAAACAGATGCTTTTGTACCAATTGTGCATAACTAAATGCTGATCACATAATACAGTGTTCTTGTAGCCAAGCAACAGTAAATAAAATGGTCCCTATCTTTTCTCTCTAAGAAACATTCTTTAAGAGGGAAAGGAAAAAATAAAGTCAATTTGAGGAAGCCAGAAACAAGCATTCCAACTGGCAACTGAGGGAAAAAATTTAAATGTTAGAATATGCACACATATATTTCTACCTGGCTAGACCATTTTTAGGTTGTCTATTTAAGTGGCCTAAGAGACAGTAACTATTCTATAAAATGTGTGGAGTGGGGCAGAAAGGTTAAGGACCCTCCGACCCTGATTTTCTCCCTCTTTGAGCATTGGCATTCAACATGAAGGAAGGAACAAGTCAAGCCACAGAGAGGTGAATGCACTGGAGGAAAGCTTCAGGAAGGGTTGTATGTATACAATGTATAGGTTAGTTTCCATCTTTTAAAAAGCTTATAAAAATGATATAAGAAAATGATAATACATTTTTAAAAAGAAAAATTTTAAACACAATCTCACCATACTAATGTTTTTTAATGTATTTTTTAACCTAGTGACCTCGCTAGCCCCAGGCACATGTAGTGTATTGTTCATCTCTGGCAGGTTTTTATTAAGTTCTTTAAATTATCTTGGTCATTTAATAAACATTACTGTTTTAAATTTCAGGATCTCTATGACAACACTAAAATTTTATAGTAACTGCCTTTTTACCACTGTTCAATATCCCCAGTGACTATCAAAATGCCTGACATGTAGTAGGTGCTTAATAGGTTCATTGAATGAATTAATGAACGCTATAGCCTCTTGTTCAAACTATTCGCTTTCCAAGATTCTCTTCCTTTCCCCTTCCTTCCCTCCCAAACTGATTTTTTTTAAACTGAGATATAATTTATATGCGATAAAATTTACCATTTTGAAAGTATACAATTCAATTATTTTTAGTATAGTTCCAAAATGGTGCAAACATCACCACCATCTAGTTCTAGGATATTTTTATCCCCTCCAAAAAAATTCCATAGCCATTTGCAATTTTTCCCCACTCTCACCTCCCTCCAACTCCAGGCAACCACTAATCTATAGATTTATGGATTTACTTAGTTTGGATATTTCATATAAACGGAATCATACAATATGTGTCCTTCTTTTGCCTGGCTTCTTCACTTAGCATAGTGTTTCTAGGGTTTACCTCCATTGTTGCATGTGTCAGAATTTCATTCTTTTTCATGGCTGAATAACATTACATCGTGTGAGTATACCACATTTTGTTTATCCATTCATCAGTTGGTAGACATTTTATTTGATCACCAGTTGATGATCATTTGGGCTGTTTCTAATTTATGGCTATTATGAATAACACTGCCATGAACGTTTGTGTACAAATTTTTTTGTGAGCATTTGTTTCTAATTTTCTTGGGTAGATGCCTAGTTGTAAAAATGCTAGGTCATGTGATTACTCTGCTTAACTGCCTGAGGAGCAGACAAACTGCTTTCTGCAGTGGCCACATTATTTACAGTCCCATCAGCAATGTATGAATGTTCCCAAATCTCTACTTCATCAACACTTATTGTCCACTTAAAAAAATTGTATCCATTATAGTGGATGTGAGGTGATATCTATTGTACTTTTGATTTACATTTTCTGAATGACTAATAATGTTGTGTATCTTTTTATGTACCTATGGGTCAGTTGCATACTTTATTTGGAGAAATGTCTATTCAAATTCTGTGCTCATTTTAAAAATTAGGTTTTTTGTCTTTTTAATCATAAGTTGTAAATATTCTTTATATATTTTGGACACTGGACCCTTATCAGATATATGACTTGCAAATATTTTCTCCCATTCTATAGGTTGTCTTTTCACTTTCTTTATAGTATCCCTCAATGCACAGAAGGTTTAAATTTTGGATATGTTCAGTTTATCTTTTTTTTTTTTTTGCTTTGGTGTCTTGTGTTTTTGGTGTCAGGTCTAAGAAACCATTGCATAGTCCAAGTTCACAGAGATTTACATTTATATTTTCTTCCAAGAGCTTTATAGTTTTTACTCTTATATTTAAATCTTTAATCCATTTTGAGTTAAGTTTTGCATAAGGTAGGGGTTCAAATTATTTTGCAAGTTTAGGTCCAGGCAACCATAGTAATGTGAATATCACAATAAAGCTAATCATGCTAATTTTTTGGTTTCTCAGTACATATAAAAGTTATTTTATTTCGTCCACTGAAGTCTTGAACCCCTCAAAGTCGTTGATGAGGGTTGTAATCAACCTTTTCCAGATTCTTATTAATGTTGATATTTTGACCTTTTCTCATGAATCACGAATGTTCTTAATGGCATCTGGAATGTGAATACTTTCCAGAAGGTCTTAAAGTTACTTTGCCCAGATTCCTCGGAAGGATCATTATCACTGGCAGCATAATAAGTCTTAAAAGTCAAAATTTCTCCTCGATCCATCGACTGCAGAATGGATGGTGTGTTAGCAGGCAAGAAAATGACATTAATATCCTTGTACATTTTATTTTTGGAGCTCATGGGTGACCAGGTGAATTGTTAATAAGGAGTAATATTTTGAAAGAAATCTTTTTTTTTTCTGAGTAGTATGTTGCCATAGTGGGCTTAAAATATTCAGTAAACCCAATTGTAAACAGATTGCTGTCAACAAGGCTTTGTTGTTTCATTTCTAGAACATAGGCGTAGATTTAGCATAATTCTTAAGGGCTCTAGGATTTGTGGAATGGCAAATGAGCACTGGCTCCAACTTAAAAGTCACCAGCTTTATTAGCCCCTCCTGAGAAACTCAGTCTGTTGTTTGAAGCTTTGAATCCAGGCATTGACTTCTCTTCTCTAGCTATGAGAGTCCTAAATGGCATCTTTTTCTAAAAGAAGGCTGTTTTATCTATATTGAAAAATCTCGTTTAGTGTAGCAACCTTCAGCAAAATCTTAGCTATATCTTCTGGATAACTTGCTGCAGCTTCTATGTCAGCATTTGCTGCTTCACCTGACACTTTTATGTTATGGAAACATCTTCTTTCTTTAAACCTCATGAACCAACCTCTACTGGCTTCCACCTTTTCTCCTGCAATTTTTTTCACCTTTCTCAGCCTTCGTAGAATTGAAGGGAGTTAGAGCCTTGCTCTGGATTGGGCTTTGGCTTGAAGGAATGTTATGGGTGGTTTGATCTTATATCCAAATCACTAAAATGTTCTTCATATCAGCAATAAGGTTGTTTCATTTTCTTATCATTTGCATGTTCACCAGAGCAGCACTTTAAATTTCCTTCAAAAACTTTTCCTTTGCATTCTTAACTTAGCCGTTTGGCATAAGAGGCTTAGCTTTTAGTCTGTCTTTGCTTTTGACTTGCCTTCCTCATTAAACTTAATCATTTCTAGCTTTTGATTTAAGGTGAGAGACATGAGGCTCTTCCTTTCACTTAAATGTTTAATCCTACATTCACTTAAATGTAGGATTATTAGTTGGCCCAATTTCAATATTGCTGGGTCTCAGGGGATATGGAGGCCTGAGGAAAGGAAAAGAAAAAGGGGAACAACAAGTCAATAGAGTGATTGGAACACACATACCACATTTGTTGATGAAATTCACCACCTTATATGGGCATAGTTTGTGTTGCTCCAAAACAATTACAATAGTAACATTAAAGATCACTGATCACAGATCACTGTAACAGATATAATAATAATGAAAAAGTTTGAAATATTATGAGAATTAACAAAATGTGACACAATGTGAGCACATGTAGTTGAAAAACTAACACCCATAGACTTGCTTGACGCAGGGTTGCCATGAATCTTCAATCTTCAATTTGTAAAAAATACAGTATCTGTGAAGCACAATAAAGCAAAATGCAATAAAGCAAGGTATGACTGTATATCCGGTGGTTCCAGTATTTGTTGAAATAAACTATGTTTTTCTACTGCATTCATGGCTTTTCTCCCTGAATCTGCCAAATAGAATTTCCTCAAGTATGGCTCTTTATGATTTACAGCATTAATGTGGATGAACAATTTGTTTTTTATTTTCATGGTTACATATTTCTTTTAAAAAATATCTTTCACATTTTATGCCTGGTTTCCTATTTATGATAAAAACAATTATGCAAGTAAAACTAATGTTGTTTTAAAGAAAAAATATTAGGAAAACCATAATATAGGAGGTACTTAGACTGGCAAATATAATGACAGTGAGGTAGGGATAAGAAAACTGTGGAAAATGCTGTTTGGTAGGTTGCAATCAACTAATCTTTAGATTAGATATTAGGAGTTAATACATTTTCTTCCATCCTCCCTCCCTCCCTCCCTTTCTTTATTCCTTCTTTCTTTCCTTCCTTCTTTCCTTCTTTTTTCCCTAAGGCACTAAGAAACCTAGAATATTAATATATAGGAACAGCTTTTGAGTTAGTAAATCTTTTTAATGATTTAAATTATCTATTAACTCTCTTTTAATTAATAAAAGCTACCAGTTTGTGAGTGTTTAAATGCCAAACAATTATCTAGGCACTTCCTCAAAAATTTCTGCATTTAATTCATACTCAATTAACTTTCCTGAAGTCCCACGGCCAGAGAAAAGTACAACCGATTGTGAACCCAGATTGATTTCACCTCTCAGCCAACACAATCTCCTTCATACCAGGCTACCTTTTACCTCTTCATCCACATGAATTAAAGCTTGAATGTAGAGGAATAGCTCTACTAATCATAGCTCAGGCCATGTGAGTGCTAGAGGTCTGGGATGAAAATAGCTGGTGGGGTTCTCAGTCCCTTCTCAACACTGTTGAGAAAGCTTTTTGACCTGCAGTTTCCCTTCCTCCTTAACCATTTTCTCCCCTCACTTTTTTCTTCTGTTTTCTCTTCTGGAAGATAATTATGAATGAACATTTTATTGTTTTGTGAATATTTGTAGTTACTTATCATTTACCAAGATCCATATTTGAAATAGAGCTATAGCAAATAAAGATTACATATTCATTGTTTTATTAGTGATTATAAAAAATACATACCCTCAGGTTCTGACATTTCACCATAGTTTCATAAAATCGTACATCTTTCTTGCTTTCTCTCTCCTTTCCTCTCCTTCCCTCCCTCTCCCTCCCTCCCTCCCTCCCTTATTCCTTCTTTTCTTCTTTTCCCCCTAAGATACTAAGAAACCTAGAATATTAATCTATAGGAAGGAACAGCTTCTAAGTTAGTTCTCATTTTCCTAAGAGGTAATGAGATGAACATTGGCTTTTGAGTTTAAATCCTGAAACATTCCCACTAATTATTAAATTTTTCTGAGCATTTTTTTCATATAATATAAGGTATAGAGTTTGCTAAACAGTGTTGTTTCGAAAATTAAATGGGATATATTTATAGTCCCTAGTGTTACAGGCATTATAAATGTGGCTGTACCCAACAAATGTTGCCATTATTAATTTTGCTGCATATCATATTATTTTTCATCATTGTCATTATTAAACCAAATATTTTGTTAAAAACTAGAATAATTTAGATTCCATGCATGTTGAGAAACATGGGTGGTCTGGTGATTGTTAACTGGCTCCCAGTGCAGATTGTTAAGACTTTTTGATGAATGGAAACCCTCTAACTATTGTTGAGAATGTACAAAGATGGGAAGTGTGCTTGTGGCCATGAAAACATGCTGTGTTTTCCTTTTCATATCAAATGTGATCTTAATTAAGTCTGTTGGCAACACTGATTTATATTTTAATAACCAGAGATATATTAGCTAAAATAAGAGTAAAGAGTTAAGATTCTTAACTAATCTGTTTCTTAAAGTGCCTGGCTGGGTTTTGCACATTTTCTTTGGATTCAGTAATATACACTATGCAAGATTTACAATGATATTGGTATAGAAGGATTTCCAAACACCTTGCAAATCATTATCTTCTGAGTATAGACAGAGAAGGTGTAGATATTGTTTTGTCACTATAACCTGGCTTGCTATGTACCTTTATGATGATGTAAAATATACTAGTGCAGTTTTCAAACATTTTGATCTGTTACATAGTAAATATTGCATTTTATATTGCTAGCTAGCACACACACATTCTTAGCTGGAAAAAAGCGCCAAATTTTACCTTTGCTATGTGCAATGTCCTCCTATATTTTCTGATCTGTCTTATTCTATTTCATTTTATTAACTTATGCCATTAGTTTGATTTTATAACCCAGTAATGGGTTACAACCTGAAGTTTGATAAATATTTTGTTTCAAGAAGTAACCACTTCACTTTGGCTCTCTACCAAAGTTTCAGATTAAGGAATTTTATGAAATACCTAGGAAAATCTTAAGAAGATTATGACATTCTTCCTTTCCTTTTTTTTTTTTTTTTTTTTTTGAGATGGAGTTTCACTCTTGTTGCCCAGGCTGGAGTGCAATGGCACGATCTCAGCTCACCGCAACCTCCGCCTCCCGGGTTCAAGCAATTCTCCTGCCTCAGCCTCCTGAGCAGCTGGGATTACAGGCATGCGCCATCACGCCTGGCTAATTTTGTACTTTTAGTAGAGATGGGGTTTCTCCATGTTGGTCAGGCTGGTGTCAAATTCCCAACCTCAGGTGATCCACCCGCCTCGGCCTCCCAAAGTGCTGGGATTACAGGCATGAGCATCTGCACCCGGCCTAGTATTTTCCATTTTTATGCCAGATCATTCTGTTTGGTAATATGGCTCCTCTCTCCCTTTCACATTGGTTAAAGACATTTTATTTACTTTATTTAAAATAAGAGTACAAAAGCATCCTGGAATTGTATTTATTCCCTTTAAGTACAATAAGAGATAATTCCACTGAATGTATATTACGCTCTTTCATTTTTTTCCTCCAGTTTCTACTATTTTCTACATTTCATAAGGTTTGCATTGCGTATGAACTTCTTAATGAGTGATTTGTATTGGGTGTCATGTTTTAAATGTAAAAAGAGTAAATTATCACAATGAAAACGAAGGATGTCGAATGAAAGAGCAGACGGACAGAGCTTGATTGATGTTCGGAAGTTATTTTTGCTGTGAACTCCTGTCAGCCTAGAAATCATAAAACAGAAAGAAGGCTTGGTTCAGCTCACATGCCCTTAGGGGATGTATGGAAAAGAATTTAAAATTCTGATAGAGTAACTTCAAAAATGTAACAGCTGAAATAATTTATTTCACTACAGAGCCACCAACTGAACTTTTACGTTGAAATGATTCTTTTTGAAGTTTCACATGGTAGCAGGAAGGCACAGTGGTCTCTGCACCTTGGTTGAAAATGCCCAGGCTGCTCAGTTATGCCTTCCTGCCGGAACCAAACTGTGGCCGCTGCTCTGGTTCTTCTGGCACTTTCTCACTGATCACTTCCTGAATAATGGGAGAAAACAACTGAAAGTCCATGATTTCACAAAAAGGGTGAAGGAGAAAAAAGTTGGGGATAATATGGGTGTTTTTCTTTTTTTATTTTAAAATGCTTCCAAATATTAATTTGGGGCATTGTGTGAAGGCAATGGAAAAAATATTGGGACTACTTAGTCCTTGAGTATTTTAATCCATAATGACTACTACCACATTTGACTAGCTAGATTGTGATATTTGAGCTGGCTGGATCTTAGAGTCATCTCAGAAGAAGAAATAGAAAAGAAAATGAGGCAGTGCCACTCTAGTTGGTGATACATGACATTTCTTTCTGTTCTCTTTTATTTTTATCAAGTTATACCTGGGCAGCCTGATGTGTTTGCTTTTTCTAGGTGACATTGAAATGATATCCACCAAGGAAAAAGAAAATCTGTCATCCCTGTACAGTGTTTCTCAACCTGACTCCATCTGTGATAGTTGTATGTTTAATCGTAGTTAACTAAAAATATGCAGAATAATGATGATGAGGCTAATACACCTTAAAATGAATTTCCACTGTATTAAAACAACAACATGCATTTTATAAACATTTGTATCTACCTATGTATGGTTTATGTATTAGAGTGTATAACCTACCATATATCCAACCTATCAAATACATTCACACACTGGAATTCTAGATTCCTTACAAATCATTCCACATATCTACAGTGGTCTGTAACTCACCAGTTGAAAACCAGTACTCTAAAATGTTAAAGATCACTATGCCAATCAGATGAGAAAAAGAAGCACCAGGAAATTCCTGAATAAATTGTTTAAATGGTCAAAACTATAAAATAAAAAGAGTGTGAATTTAAAAAAATGTATTATCTAATTTGTCTGTATTGGTATCTATACCTTGAGACAAAATTTAACATTTTCCTGGTATCTACAGATTTTTTTTTTTCAAAGGAGATCCTTCTATCTTGCTTTGGTGTAAAGAAACAACAGAAAATATGCTGTTGCTATAAATAATATTTATAATTTTAATAATTTCCTATGCTAATTACCTAACTGTGCTCTATTATTAAAAATTGCTAAGGTAGATGATTGCACATGTAAAAAAAGACACAATGACAACCACAAAAACAAGGCTTCACATATATTTTCAGCAAAGGTGAAAGAACTAGAATTATACATTTTCAATTTGTTACTGAAAATTAATTTTATATATATATTTTAATATATAGGTATTTCTGTTCTTATGAAAAATAGTTTCATGATCAGATACAGAATTTGAAACATGGAAAATTCTGCTTTGAGGTAGGGGTTAATATTGAATCATTTTATGGTTCATAGTTAACTACCATTTATTGAATGCTGAAAAGATATAGTTAACTGAAAAGCATTCTTTAGTTAACAAGCTTTTACAATTGAGGGTAATTTTTGTCTCCTGCCAAAGAACAACGAGATTGAATTCTATGCTAATGAAACTGTTTTTCAGTGGAGCATACAGTGATTTTCATAATCCTAGTCCTGGCTGGGATGTTGGGAAAGTGGCACATAGCCAGAATAATTAAAATGGGATTTAAGGCCATATTTTGGAAGGCTTTCATTTTTCAAAATGGTATGTTTGTGACTGAAGTTACTTCTGAAGTCTCAAAAATTTCAGACCTGAAAGTAAACTTGGTGTCAAGGAAAGTCTTGACCTTTAATTTAAATTGCAACCAACTTTGCTCCTTCTAGCTTTCTGATCTTGAGCAATTTGCCTAACTTCTCTGAGATTCAACTTCCTTAATTGTAAAATAATGTAATATTTATCTTGCAAGGTTGTTAAGAAGGTCCTTATAATCTCTCAATCACCTGTCACGATGTACTCAATAAACCATAGTTGCTATTATTATCATTAGTATTATCACCAGTATAATCAAATAGTTATTATTTCTATGTGATTTAGCAGATGATCTTTTATACTCAAAGTAAACTCCTTTCTAATGGAGCCGTCAGGTTAAATATGGCCAATACAAGCTAAATGAATGGGGCTTTGAATACATCTATTTGATGAACCCATGATTATGAAATGGAAATGCTAAATCTGCCTCAATTTCTCTGGTGATAGGACAGATGAGATTCTTGAGGGACCCAGATTGTCACGTGTATAAGTTATTTGCTCACCTTTATGAACAGTCCTTTTTCAAATGAATATTGCTCCTTTGGTAATTGTATACTAGATTGTAAAATGTCTTTACATCCCTCTGAATAATTCTTCCTTAAAATGGTCAGACACAGTATTGATTTTTCCTGGGGTATTCCTTTGCCTTGACCCAGCTCACAATGCACTATCCATTGGACAAAATAAAGCATTTCCTTTATATGAAGAAAAGAGAAGGGTAGGTAGAGACAAAGGAAAGTCTGTCTGGAAAAATCTTTGTACTTTGATGGGCTTTGTATGGAAAAAAAGAAATCAAAGCTTAGGGCAGAGAACTTGGACGTGGTAGGTGTAGGTCTCTCCACAAGATGGCACTCATTCTCCCTCTTCTTTTTTCAATTGCCAAAAATAAATTTTGTCACTTTTTATTTTTTACTCAGTCACAGAACAAATATGTTGTTAGTTTGTGTATCAAATATACCTGGTTTCACATATTTTTTAAGTGTTCGATCATGTTTCTGACTCTTAGTAGTAATGAGTGTATTTTACCTCCTGTAAGTCTCTGTCGGTGAGTACACTGTTTTGGGAGGAAACACTCACCCCTACTCCCAGTCACAAATCTAACAAAACTTAAATTAATCTTCTAAAAATTTTCTGTTAAAATCTCCAAACAAAACTGAAGATTAACTGAAAAGAACCAGAATGTCTCCATTGTTGTTTTTATCATTATTTTAAAATTTAAGTGGACATGCCTTTCAATTTTAGGGAAAATCTCTATGATACTTCCAATACTTCCATTTTGATGTAAGAAGCAAGTTTACCTCCAAAGGGCCTTGGGTCTTCTTACCCTTGTTAGTGATACGAGATGTCACAACTCTCTTCTAGTCACTGGAAGTTAATGTCAATTGGAGTCTTTATAATCATTTAATTTTTCTTAATACAGAAAAAATTGATCTATCAAATGATTTTTAAGTTCATATGCAAAAGTAATGTATGTTACTTATTAAAACATTAAAGAAAAAATGTTAGGCTACTGTGAGTTCACTAAAAACAGGAATTTGATAAATGGTAAGTAAATACATAAATTTAATTGATAATTTTGCACTTATATTTTTATATCACATTATATTTTCTAGTTACTTTTCTTTCCAAATACTTAGAAGGTAAAGAATGTATGTGGACAAAATTATAGCCTACTTGATTTGTTAATGTGATGATAAAGATCTATTTAAAAATTCTGGTTATACCATGGTTTCCAGGGTCTAGATTTTCTTTTAGCCCACTTCAGAGTCAGACTTTAGAATATTTATCATTTCTGTAAAACAGATTCCTGAAAGTTAAGGTCTTTCATACCTTCATCATAACAGTTATTATTATGGAATCTTTGCCTCACTTTTCAGAATGCTAACAGTGTTGGACGCTAATATTACAGAATGCTTGCCACCCTATCGTGAAAGTCACCCTTTGAAAGCAGGAGGAAAAAAGAAAAATCTAGAGAAGGCCCTAAGAAGACAAAAGAATTATTGTAGTAAGAAAACTAAGACTTATCAGAATATTCATAGGAAAGCAAGGCTACGGCTTGAATGATTTGATAAAAATAACCACTACTGCCATAATAACTTGTTATGGGTTACATGCTACACCAAGCAATTCAGAATTATTAGATCCTTTACATTCCTAACATTCCTAATGAAACAAAAAACATTATCCCCTTTGTTAACACACAGGATAGCTGAGAATCAGAAAGGCTAAGTGGCTTGGATTTGGAGGCAGGATTTAAACCCAGGTGTGTCTTGTTCCAAAGCCTGTGCCTTGAACCATTATATACCCCTGCTTCCCTGACTTGTAAAGACATTGAATATTGGAATTTGGTTACTGGCTTCTAAGATAAGCAATATCTTTACATGAATGTAGATTGGTTATTGCATCTTTTCCAATTTTAAAGGAATTGAGAAGACACATTTTCAACAAACTCAAGAGATTTTGATTTGATGAAGGGAAGAAGTTTTTGATTCTCAGGCTGTGGAAATAGTGAAAAGAAACAAACAAAAAGGATTATGTGGACTCTAAAAGGGGTGTCTTCAAGAAACAAGTAGTCAAAACTACCTTTTTAAATTATGTGGGTCAATCCCCCAAACGAACATAAGGAGCTGCACACAGGTATAGCCTCCTTTTAGACATTTTTATTATGATTTAAACACCTTTATGTGAAACATATTTCATACATATTGAACTCAGTCAACATCACTTCACATTCACTTCGTATCTCTGTCTGTATATCCCTAGACCTTTAAGGAGTTTTTCTTACTTGTTGTAACTTTTCTCATTAACTGTTTTTGTGCATTCTCATCAAACTAGGCACCTAACCTACTTTCATTTGTTATAGCTACGTAGAAGTTTCTTCTGTTGTTGTGTCTTAGTTTACCTGGATATTTCTGTGCTGTTGGGTATTTACATTTTTCCTGCTTTTTTCTCTATTATGAGTAAATTTTTTTAAGGGGGGAGTGGGTACATGTTGGTTCTCTTTGAAATAAAATCCCTAAAGTGAAATTATTATATAAAATAATACTAATAGCTTTTCAACTCTTGTTAAATATTTCCAGATTGCCTTTTAGAAAGAACAAACAACTTTTTAATGACTTCAGTAATAGAGAAATCATAGATCCCAAACTCAAATTCCGAATAAATGGGCTTTTCCTAGTTTTCCAAACTGGCAAAATAAGTGAGTGTAACTGACTAGGTGTTTGACAACAGATGGTAGTGGGAGCAACAACAACCTGGAGGGCCAGGCACCAGAGAAAGGGGGCAGCAGCCTCTGCAAAGTGAAGGGGGCAGCAGCCTCTGCAAAGTGCTGCCTGACTGTTGCTTTGGTTATGTCAGTGTGTGTATTGGTCAGGATTCTCCAGAGAAACAGAATCAGTAAGTTATTACAAAAGGAGATTTATTATGAGGCATTGGCTTATGTGATTATGGAGGCTGAGAAGTTCCATAATGTAATCACTGGAACCTGGACACCCAGGAATGCCAGTGGTACAATTTAGTCCCATCCCAAAGGCCTGAGAACCAGGGGAGGTGATAGTGTAATTCCCAGTCCCAGGGTTGATGATGAGATGTTACATTTCAACCAGGCAGGAAGCAAAAAGGGGTGACTTCCTCCTTCCTCTACCTTCTGTGCTGTTGAGGCTCTCAGTGGATTGGATGATGCCACCTGCTTTAGGAAGGGCAATCCACTTTACTGAGTCCACCAATTCAAATGCTAATCTCATCCTGAAGCACCCTCACAGACACACCCAGAAATTGTTTAAGCTGAGAGATTTGTCAAATTCACACATAAAATTAGTTATCACAAGTCCACCTTTCATCAACTAGGCACCCATACAGATCTTCTTAAACCATACCTAATCTTTGAAATATGACAACAAGGCTATATTCTGTCTAACATGACACAACTATCCTGAATACAACTGAAAATTCGATTCCTAGATGAGAAAGTAAAGTACTTGAATGGTGTTTACTCTTTGTTTGATATCCTATGACTTAAAGACTATTATAGAAAATTAAGAGTACTAAAATACTATAATATAAATTCAATAAATCATATTTTAGTTGATGGGGGAACAAGAGAGGAAAGAAAACATTTTTACTTCCTTTCCTCTCGTATATCTCTTATATATCTGGCATACAAATGCATTCATGGCAAAATAAGGAGGAAATACTCATGACAATTACATTCCTGGCTTCTGTTACTGGTCACTGGTATTTATAACGACCGTTTTCCAAACTATTCTGTATTCCCTTTGCCTTCAGAAAGTACCCTCGTGCGGTAAACCCAAATCTTCATTCCTAGAGGGTCTGAGCCATTACTAGTCCTGCTTGAATGAGATTGCTGTGTTTTTCCATTGGCTTTAATTATAAGGCATAGTAATACTAAGAAAGGCCCTAGAGGATCTCCTGTATTCCAGACATACTCTTCCTTATCTCCATTGTGGATTAATAGTCCAATTTCCTTTTTATAGTCAGGATCAATCCCCCTTGTCAACTCTCTTCTTTGTCTGTTAATTCAAAGGCAGGAAGAGTACAGAGTGGCCAGGCAGCAGTCTTAACTTCCAGTTCAGTGGAATCATTGCTGGGTCTCCTCATGGAAGCATTCTTCCCTTGGGAACTAAGACCTCTAGGCCTAACAGAGAATAGTCACAAAAACAGGAAGCAAAAATAGATGTGTGTGTATATACATCCATATGTATATATGTACTATATATATGTATGTATATAACAGTATATTTTAATGATGTATTTATTGCATGGTCTCATGTTGCTTTTTTTTTTTTTTTACATGTTACAGTTTGGATGCTTTAGTTTTCCATATCTGTACTTATCCATCTTGTCTCTGTTCAGATCCTAATCACTCCATTTCTTTAGTATCAGGAATTTATCTCCTCTCCACCGCTGGAGAAGACCTGTTCTTTATTCTCTAGTTTTTAATAAAACGTTTTACTCTCACTCAGCTGGAATACAGTACAATTTGGGGTATGAGAAATGACTCTAAGGTAATTTTTTCCATACTGCTATCACATTGGCCCAACACTATTTATTAAATATAATTTATTTCTATATTGTTGGGGATTCATATAATCATTTAAATTGATTTTTACCAATCTCAGTTGTATTTCATCAGTCTGGCTTTATGGGCTATGAATTTTTCTTAATATGTAATTATTGCTTTGTGAGTTTAATCTCTGATATAATAAATCATACAGAGATATATCAAATTTCTTTATTATTTAGACAAGGTGATCTCTTCATGTCCTCTAATATTCTCTTTTGCCCCTCTCCCTAAAAAACTGTCATATTCTAAAGCCAACTAATATGGGAAGGAGAATGAAATGATATTAGTTGAGAATGAATGACAGACTACTTAGGATAACATGTATGCCAAGTGAGTTGAATCAGCTGATGTAGTAGTATGACTGACAGTTTTTGTTGAATATTTTATGAATCTATTAAATTAAGAAATGAAATGGATGGTCTCTAAATATCCTTATAATGTGGACATTCTCTGAGTTTTTATTCTAACATAACTCTAATAATTTGGACAACCTCAATATCTGACAGCATATTTCCCTTGTGATATAAAGTCAGTCTCAGACATGGTCTCCTCTAGGGAACCTTCCCTAAATGCCACTACAACTGTCCATGCCCAAATCTGAAGCTTCTCCTGGCTCCTTCTCTTTTTCTCCTTGACACTGTGCTTATATTACTACTACAAAGGCCCCAAAACACAGCAAAGAATAATTTGTTAAATGAGTTAAGTCCATTTGAGACCTGTAAAGTGACTTTCACTGTTAACAATAGTCCCCCTCTGTGGGTAGAAGCAAGAATGAGTTTCCAAACTTGGGAGGTTTGAGGTTCTGGCATCACAGGAATACTCCCAGATTGCTTTCAGGAGGCAACTTCATCCTTGCCATGGCTCAGATGTTTGATTGGAGTGAAAGTTAAAATGAGAACTGACCTACCTGATAATCATAGTGACAAAATGAACATATATGGGGTTATTTTAATTATTATTTC
The DNA here is from genome assembly GCF_000001405.40 of Homo sapiens. Classification (NCBI taxonomy): domain Eukaryota; kingdom Metazoa; phylum Chordata; class Mammalia; order Primates; family Hominidae; genus Homo; species Homo sapiens. Next base: position 168,516,808 of record NC_000003.12, read on the forward strand.
AGTCCAAGATGGTCAGCAGAAACTGTACATGTATGACACATTTAGAAACTTAGAATATTTTCAGTCTTTATCCAGAAAACCATAGAGGATATTCTAAAGTTTAAAGCTTAAAGCTGCTGCATCTTCACACTGCAATTTATTGTTCACTGCTGATGATAAACTGGTTATTCCTGTCACAAGAGTGTGCTAGGCTGAGACTCTGGGAATTGTATTTATCTAGACAATGATAATATAACATAGTAAGTAGAAATGAAATTTTCCCATCTAGCATGTTTTCTGATTACATCTTAAAGAAAATCATTTTGGTAAATATATCTGAAATGAAGGTGGGGATATTTTACAGCTGTAAACTATACCTACATAGCAGGGATGTAGTCCATTAATTCTCAATGCTCGAGGTGAGGCTGACAATTCATAAGTGGTAAATCCAGAGAGTTATGAAGATATTAAATCTCACATCTGGTGAGAAAATGTGTTATTTCACTGGGTTGATTGACGGACACTTTCCCATTACAGTGCAATTTGGGAAATCGCACTGTTAATTGCTAGGGTTTTAGCAAAGCTCTGTAGTTCAATTCCAATTACTTTAGTTTTGAAAAACAGAACAGCTGGATGGTAAAATTGCCCGGAGCTGTCACCAAGGGAGGGCACAAGCCAGCAACCCAACCTCTACCATTCCTGATTTGGATTTTCTACAGAGCTATTAGTGAGTGAAATTGAAGGCTTCTGGCACCGGAGGTCTCCCTGCCATGTGCCTTCTTCTGGCTGGAAGCACGTTTGTTTGCTTACCGCTCAGGTGATTGCCACCGTAATCATCAGGCACGCTCCCATTATTACTCATTTGCTTCCCTCTTCACAGGGGAGAGATGAGAAAAGCAAGTCTCATCACATCTTGATCTCCTCACCACAGGGGGATCGCTTCCTTGCTTTAGAGCCAAGTGGAGTTTACACTTTCTCCTCAGAGATTTCTTTTGCTGTCAAATTGACCTTTGAGTCCTTCGTTATCTATGGGGGCGAATTACATGTTTCCACACACACAGTCTCTTTGTCTCTGGCTAAATCTAGAAAGAACAACTCCAGTTGTGGTTTGGAAATTACCTAGCATCAGCAGCTAAATGTAATCAAACTGGATGATTCAGTACATCCCACCACTAACTCCCACATCGACCTCAGTTCACTGTGTTTGAATCAGGTGAGTGTCAAATGTTTTCTTTGGTTAAGGTAACGTGGACCATATCCAGAGCCTCCTGGCTCCGCCTTGCTTGGTATAGCTGTGAATATGTAAGGGGCTTTCTTCAGTAGCTTCAGGATTTAAGAGCATAATGAAATGGGGGTGTCACACTTCTGATAAAATCTCAGTGAGCACACAGTTGAAGAAGGATTTCAAGAAGAAATATTTGTGAGAAGAAAAAAAGCTTAGTTATGCACATGGGAAATTTAAAGAAAACAATATCTTGCCTTTCTAGAATTTCTTTTTAATATTCATTATTTATTTTTTATATTGTAAATTCAGACTAATAATTTTTGGTGTCCCTCAAAGTCAATACTCTTGAAATATGTGGTCAACACATTTTGACAGGGACGGCTGTGGTGGGGGAAGGGAAGGCATACATAGACTGGCTTCAAGAACAAGTACCTTTCTTCCCCAGCAATGTAGCTCCCACCCCAGACTTGCACAATAATCATCTAAAAAATACCTGTCCTAACTACTGTTACTCTTAGAATGCTTTTTTGGGAGTCTTACTCCCCCTTCTTCTCTGAGAGGCTTATCAATAAGGTGACTATATGCTTATGTGGTCTGCGCCTTGTCCTAATACAATTATTAATAATATACCTTGTATTAGTCCATTCTCATTCTGCTAATAAAGACATACCAAGACTGGGTAATTTATAAAGGAAAGAAGTTTAATTGACTCACAGTTCAGCGTGGCTGGAGAGGCCTCAGGAAACTTAAAATCATGGCAGAAGGGGAAGCAAACATGTCCTTCTTCATATGGTGGCAGGAGAAAGAAGTGCTGAGCAAAGGGGGAAAAAAGCCTCTTATAAAACCATCAGATCTTGTGAGAACTCACTATCACAAGAACAGCATAGGGGTAATTGCCATTATGATTCAGTTACCTCCCACTGGGTCCTTCCCATGACACATGGGGATTATGGGAACTACAATTCAAGATGAGATTTGGGTGGGGATAGAGACAAACTGTATCACCCCTATAACTTTCAAAAGAATACCTAGGTCAGATGATAAATTGTATAGTAGTTCTGTTTATCGATGTATGTCTTAATCATATACAATATTTAGGTTTAGAGGAAACCTGTTAAGTAACATTTCCTCAATCTCCCCAGATTTACCGTTCTGTTCTTAACCTTTGTAAATTGATGCCCCAGTAAGTGGTCCCATCCTTCAATCAAGCCATACTTAAAATCCCTGAGTTATAGAAAAGTATGTCTGAGGGGAAAGTTAAAACAAATTGTATGCAAAAAAAAAAAAAAAAAAAAAAAAAACTCTTGGAAAATTAAGAGGCTTTATTTACCTTCAAAAAGCAGGACATAATGGTTTAAAAGTAAATACTCATTGTTTTCGTTTGTCATTATTTGTGACTTGATATTTTGGATCAATGGCAAATCTCTTCTGAAATATTTGAAATGCCACTTTTTAAAGCTGTTTTTATATCTCTTCTCTTTTCTTACATTTAACGAGCTCATCGCTTTTACTCCTCTCTTGTAGGTCCTCTTTTCCGTCTTCTCATTCCTGTGGATCTGTCCTGTAGCCTTTCCACGCTATCCTCAGGCTCATCTGTTTTCTGAAGATGGGAAAAGCCCTTTGGACAAGGTAGGTATGCCTGATGATAAGCAGAGGTAGCATTTTCAATGTGGAACATTTTTAGCAAACCTGAATACTGCCAGTGTGTTAATAATGTGTCTTTATCAATGGAAACTCTTTTTTTTTCTACTTCATTATATACCTCTAAAGCCATTTATCATGGGAATTTATTAGTTTTGTTTAAGTGTATGTACCGGTATTTTTCTTCAGTGAAATTCATTTCTATATACTTCTAATGAGAGGGACCATTTGTTTAGATTATAGTCCATACTCGATCCTGCTCTTCTTTTTGAAAGTCTTTGAAATTCTATTTTGTTCTCTCCCTTTCCAGACCTGCTATTGCACAGAAAATTGGATTTGTTTTTTTACCTTAGTAACTTAGTTATTCATAATTCTGTGATTATTCCTCATGTGTGATTTCTGTCTCCTTGGCTATATTTAAAGTTTACTGGAGACAGAAGCCATGTCTTCATATACCTTTTAGATCTCTTACAGAACTGAGATTCTTGTTAAGTACGTGAAGAAAATTGCATTGGTTAGCTTAACAGGTTCTTGACCAAAGATGTCAGCACTGTGGTTGTCTGTAATTCTTGTATACAGAAGCTGTTTTAGCCAGGGGTCTTAGATTTCAGGCATGAGACACCACTTTTAGTTTGCTTAAGCAAAAGTGAGAATGCTGCTGGAATCTGTTGGGAAGTTATGGCTGTGTTTTAGAAAATTGAAGGAACAAAGAAAACCCTAGTCTCAGAAACAGCAGTACCCAGGGTGGCCTAGGGTTCCAAGTAATCATTATTAATGGACAAGAATCCTTAGTCTTTGTGTTGTTTGGAATTCAAAGTCTAGATATAAGCTTGGGTCTTATGCTGTCATTTTTTGGACAGGTGTTGTCTAGGTTGGTGTTGTCTTCATGTCTTGGACCCATGAGTGGACAAAGACCTTAAAAAGCCCTAGCTCTGAAGCCGTTCCTTTCTATATGCTACTTCAGACAACGCATATCTAAAGGTGCAATGATAGCACTACCAGCCCACTGAGTGTCTTTCATTTCATTTCATTGCTGGATTTTTTTTTTCTTTTTCCCCAAGCAGACATGCATGTATTCTCTCCCACTCTGCCATGCATTTTATTTATATCTCACCCTAGGGCACTTCTCCATTTAGAGATTCTATTGTAAGCTGTTATCATCTGTAGCATTGACTAGATTTCTATGCAGGTTAAAGGAAGGAATGATAATGCAAAGTTGCTAGCTCTAACAGAATGTTATTAACCAGGGAAAAATACATTTAAAAAAATTTCAACTTTTCTTTTAGATCCAAGGGGTATATATGCAGGTATATTACATGGGTATATTCTGTGATGCTGAGGTTTGGGGTACAAATGATCCCATCATCCAGGTAGTGAGCATAGTACCCAAGAGGTAGTTTTTCAGCCCTTGCCCCCTTCTCTACCTTCTCCCTCCAGTACTCCCCAGTGTCTGTTTTTCTCATCTTTATGTCTATGTGTACTCAATGCTTGATTCCCATTTGTAAATGAGAACATGTAGTATTTGTTTTTCTGTCCCTGTATTAATTAGCTTAGGATAATGGCCTCCAGCTGCATCCATGTTGCTGCAAAAGACGTAATTTTGTCTTTTTAAAGGCTTTATAGTATTCCTAGTGTATATGTACCACATGGCATAAATACATTTATGGATGACTTGAAACTTGTAGTTATATCATGGTTCAAGGCAATGTACTCTTCTGTGATTCCTGCTAAATTTTTAAATTGAAATTTCTCCCTTTTTTATATTACCTCTTCTCAGACAGATCAACCTTCTCCTTCCTAAAAATTAACAGTTTCCCCACAGTACAAATAGAGTATAAATAGCCAAAGGCAGCCTCTTGATGAACAATCAAAAGATGTGATAGAAGCTGAAGTCATTACATCTTGTACAATAATGTTGTTTCTTTCTTTGGACTTAAAAGATATTGTGCTAGGTATAATAAAAATAGCTTTTGTTATTTTGTGTCATCATATTGTAATGGATTTCACTGACATTTTACTTATTAATTTTTAACATTAATATTTTATTACAAAAATGTCATCTTGTCACGCGTGAACAATTTAAAATAAGTTCTGCTTTTTAAAGTATAATTGAATTACATTATGCCATAACGCCTCCTTTTTTTTTTTTTTTTTTGGTTACAACTTGTCTGATATTTTTAAAAGAAAATCTATAGGAAAAAAGCTAATATAAATGTTTTCTCTGTGGTATAATTAGAATATTTTGAAGTACTTTTATATTTATTATTTAATTTGTGGTCATAAATGTGCTATGAAAAAGACAGGTGGTTTAGGATGGCAGCTTTGAGTCACGAGGTATCAGTCAACCTGGAAATTGAAATCAACCATGTGGATAATCAGGCAATCATACAATGAAGCCCCAATAAAAACTCTTAATGTTGAGACTTGGGTAAGCTTTCTTGGCTGGCAATACTCTGTCAGCTGTCACACTTCAATGCCAGGAAAGTAATACATCCTGACTTTGTGGGGAGAGAAACATGGCAACTCCAGATTTGGTACTTCCCCAGACTCTGCCCTTTGCCCTTCATCCCTTGGCTGATATTGAACTGTATCCTTTCCCTGTAATAAACTGTAACCATACGTATAATAGTTTCTATGAGTTCTATGAGTCCTTCTAGCAAATTATTTATCATAAGAATGGCTTTGGGAATCCCCAAACTTGCACTTGGTGTTAAAAGTGAGGGAGGCCTTACAAACCAACTTTGCAGTTGCCTAAACTCCCAAGAAGTTGACTTAAATGCTCACAATAAGGTACTAAAATTATTGATTTCTCCTATTCCCTCTGTCAGTTATTTTGTGAAAGAGACTAATTGGATTCAGTTTTTGTCTATCCATGACAGACTTCATCCCTGAATTTAACACCCCCGAATTTAACATTTTCCATATTTATTGAAGTAAATGTATTTGTTTAAAGAAACCAGCTAATGAGGACAGTAACACCTAAAAATATTTTATTTCTTTTTGAAAACTAGGTTTTGTTAGCAAGTTTAAAATAACTAAAGAGAAAGAGAAGAGAGGAAAGGAAAGGAAAAGGAAAAGGAATGGAAAGGAAAAAATTATCACATATAGTTAAAGTTCAGGCCATACAAAAATTTTATCTGTGAAAAAGTAAATCCCCTGCCTTCCTCCTATTATAGAATCTTTTGTTGCTCAAAACAAGACTTGTATCCCTCCTTTTAATTCTTACATTTATGTATTTATTAATGTTAAACAATTTCTTTCAGATTGATTGAGGCCCTAAAGGTTATAGTTTGTGTGTGAAATCACAAGCCACACATTAATAATTTATCAGTATTTTTTTCTATCTCCTTATCAGCAATTAGCAGGCCCCACTCATTTTTTTTTTCTAATCTCTACATACACTATATTTTTATTATCCTTTTTCTTGCCTGCCAGCCACCACTTCTTTAGTTTTATTGATTTGGTGCCTCTTTTAAAAATATTTGCCCCTTCCCACAATATAAGTTCAACTACTGGTTGGTTACTGGGTGCCTAGTGTGTGTGAGACACCATTTACTATTTTGAGGATCATTTATTGGAAAAACCTAGGTCTTAGTTAATGAGTCTCTAGATTTGATATGTATATGTGTATATATGAATGTGTGTGTGTATGAGTGTGCATATGCGTGTTCCAGCCTTCAGAAATGATCTTTACTTTTGTAGAACATCCCAACATTCTGTGATGTAATCTTTAATTAATGATAAGGGGGAAATTAGACACATATCTCTAAAACTCACTATGAAAGTCTGAAATAGGTATAGTAGAATAAATTAGATGGAATAAACTGCATTATATTATACTTAGAGAACAGTACACTCTAAGTAAGTATCAAGATGTCAATGATAAGAGCATACTCTCACAGCAATTAAAATACAGAACATCTAAAGAAAGCTGACCATTAGCATAAACCCTTTTGAAAATTCTGAAGTCTTTCATTTTCATTGGTAAATCTTGGATTTTCAGAAAATCTAAAGACAGTAGCTTGGCTGGGCACTGTGGCTCATGCCTGTAATCCCAGCACTTTGAGAGGCCAAGGCAGGTGGATCACTTGAGGTCAGGAGTTCGAGACCAGCCTGGCCAACATGGTGAAACCCTGTCTCTACTAAAAATACAAAAATTAGCAGGGCATAGTGGCGCATGCCTGTAATCCCAGCTACTAAGGGGGCTGAGACAGGAGGATTGCTTGAACCTGGGAGGCAGAGGTTGCAGTGAGCCAAGATCGTGCCACTGTACTCTGGCCTGGGCAACAGAGTGAGACTCTGTCTCAAAAAAAAAAAAAAAAAGGGACAGTAGCTTGATGAATAAATTGCTTAAATTAACTAATTTGAGACAGATCATGAATTTAATTAGCAAAAATCTATATTTGTTAAGTTCTTGTACCAGTACTCTTATCCCATTTAACCAATATAGAAAGGAATTATAATGCTATCATAATAATATAAAGAGAAGCATAGAATTGTATGATTTTTGTTTGATTAATAATATATATCTTGTCATAGAATTTCCCCTCTTTAATTTATAAGGAAAAGAAGATATGTTACTAGAGATTTCTTAAGTCCTAATTACAACAATAGCTGACGTGTTTTGAGTGCTACATGTATGTCAGGAAAAGCATTTTATGTGTTTTGATGATGTCATTATTCACCAAAACACTATGAAAAAGGTTATATTATTATCCCCATTTTACTATGACAGCAAAGTCAGTCCCAGGTTGGCTTAAATATCATGTTTGAGAGGAAAATATAGCTAATGAGTAAGGGAGCAGTGTTTGATTCCAGTCTGACTCCAAATCTTCACTATTAAAAGCTTTAGGGCTGGAATAAATTGAATGATCATCTCAGCAAATATTGTTATGTTTCAGCTAAAGATACTGAGAACCAGCAAATTAAATGGCAGCTAGTTTATGGCAAAATAGGAACCAGGGTGCAGGTATCTGGACCTCATGTTAGTGCATTTAGCGCATTTTAATTGTATTCCCTTTTCTTTTTTACCCACTATTAGTTCAGGACAATCCCAGCCTCAAAACTTTCAAACTGGAGACATGAAAAGCATCATATAAACCATACCTTGTCTATCTTCAAATACAAAGCCTTTCAGAAAGAAAGGGATCCATGGCTCTAAATATTTAGATTTTCGACCAGTTTATTAGGGATTATGAAAACTTATTTTTAATGTGGTTGCTAATTCATCTCAAACTCTAAGCAAGTTACTAGTTGACATAATTAAATGCTTACCCTAAAATGGATGGAAAAGATTCACACCTGAAGTTGTTTAAATATGGACAACTATAACTGCAGTTTGCATTCACAATGACAGTGAATTATACGTGATTTCTGCAGAAGATAACAGTGGGCAAACAAGCTTTAACAAAGACTGTTTTTTCTCCTTTTCTGGTTATTTTTAATGGCCATATTCAAACCTAAGAAGGTGTATAAACTGCCAGTTTTCTCAGGATTTCAGGATCCCATTTATTCTAAAAAATTTTCAATGAAAGTTTTATTTGTGGCGAAAAGAAGTGGAATCTGGGTGTGGGGTACAGCAGCCTTCCAAAAGCAAAAGTGCTTTGAAGTAATAACCTTTTCTTTGTTTAATTTAAAAATAATGTTTTACATATTTAATTATTTAATAAAATAACAATTAAAATTGTCACTCCAGAAGTATGTACCATACTTTAGCTTGCAGTTCAGGTATTTCTGTCACGTAGACTATTGTAGTCTCTGTTTAACTTGAGTGAATGTAAACGCCAGTTTAACAAGCACAGGTAGAGAATATGTGAATTTTGAGAAGCATGGGATTAAACAAACAGGTTTCTTGCTGCAGAACTTATCAGGAGTTTGGCGTATTAGTATAGACTGAGAGTCAAAAAGAGGGGGAGACCTGAGCATTTCCAAAATATGTTTGACCATATAACCTTTTTCACATGGATCGCTTACCAGCATCTTATGGCGTGAGTAGTCCAAAGAACACATTTTGAGAAAGTCTGTTCTGATTCATTGTTATCTCTATGTTTTATTATGTAAATACGTTTTTCTTATTTTTTTCATTTAAAAATTAAGTACTATAAATATTCTATAGTGATATCAAAAGAGATTTATGTTTTGGCCATTTCTTTCAAAGCCTGTCATTAAACTTTGTTTGTATGTGAATAAAGCTTTTGCACAATTTTCTCAGTGTTTGAAAATAATGTCACTAGGTCACTAGTCTAGAAATATCTCCTGGATTCTGATGCCTGCCAACTCTGGGACTCCATACTTTCTAGTCATGTAACCTTTCTTAGTCTCGATTGCTTATTTAATTTTATTTTAGAAAGATAACACCTGTCCTATCCAATTCACAGTGTTTTGAGTATTAAATAATTACATTTACTGTATAAACTAGGAAATATGAGAGCAATGTGAGGTATTATCAATATTATTACCAATATTATTTTTACTATATAACATCTCATTTCCATTTAATTCTCTAAAAAGTGTTGGATAGGCTTGGTGGAGACTTACTAACATTGATGAAAACAATTTGAAGTAAGGATTGATTGATTCTTTGAATTAAATGTGAGTTTTTTCTAATAGGTTCTTCTACCAACCTTTGAAAATAGATCTGTCTATATTTTTATATAGGTTATGTAGCTTTAATTTGTTTCTTCTTATTTGCTGTCAGCTGTCATAGCTACCATTCCCATGGGAGGCTTTCTTTGTCTTATAATTTATTTTTAAGTGAGAAGACAAAACTGTTTTAGTTAAATTTTTTTTTCAAGTTTTCTGTAAGTGGCATTTATGAGCAATTTCAGATTTATTCTGTTATAATGGCATTTTAAAAAGATTATCCTTAGGCATTATGATGGCTTTAGAATAAATCTAGCTAAAAATTTTATCTTTGCTATTAAAAAGACCGCTTCTAAATGTCTTTAAACATAGTCCATCTTTCAGAGACCCTTTTGTTTGAAGATAAGTTTGTCCCGTGAGTATATTGAACAACAGTAATGCATGGCATTTATTCAGCATTTTGTATTTTCAAAGCAATTTGCAATCATCAATTCATTTAACCACCCAACAATCCCAGCACTGAGAAGCAAATGTGACCTGACCACCACCTGAGCTGGTATTAGCACCCCAAATTGCCTTCTATGCTCACATTATTGAGACTTGCTTTGGTTAAAAACCATCCTTGAGACAAAAGAAAAGCTAAATATAAGCTCCTTCCTTCTGCTTCTTTGTCATTTATTTTCTCACAAGTGGAATAATCTATTGCCATTTCAGTGGGAGCTGTCTGAGTCCCCATTACTCCTTAGAGGTGGTTTTCATTTAAAGATAATGACAAGCTGTTATGGTAAGATCCTTTTAGAGAACTTCATGTGCTCACCCTTTAAGGTCGAATTTAGATGTTATTTCATAACTGAAATGTTCCATAAAACTTCTTTTTTGGTCTTCCTAGGATTTAATTTCTTTCTCCTGTGCTCACACAGAATTTTATATATACTTCTGTTATAGCTCTTGCCAAAATTTTGGTGTAGCTCTAAGTCTAGAATGGGAGCATTACTATGGCCTGTAACCATGTCTTCTTTATCCTTCTATCTATTGTTGTTCATTAGCACACTGTCTGGAATATGTGGGAACTCAAGAATCTTTTAATCCCATGTTAGAACTCAACTGCTCCAGGTGGCTTTCACCCAGCCACCCACCTTATGCTCTGACTGATGTGCGGAGTAGAAAATGGGAACTGAATTAGATGAGTCCAGGAAAGTCTTCCTGGATGTATGAATGATTTGGCTAATTTCTCAGACTGATGAGGTGTTATTTTGGTAAAGAACATAGGAAACAGTGTGTGAAAGCTCTGAAGCAGGAAACAGCATAACGTACTGGACTATGAATAGTCCTAGTAAGAGTGGCCATCACATGCAAGCATCCCCTTCATTGCCGTCATTGCCATCATCATCTTACAATTACCACTTAATGAGCATTTTCAAGGAACCCACTGCTGTCATTGGTGTCTTATAGACTTTTTCACACATAAAAATCACCATAGACATACAGTGCAGGAATTATCCTCATAATTTTTTCAGGTAAAGAAAGGTTCAGAGAGACTAAGAAACTTTTTCAAGTTAATGCAGCTAGTAAGCAACGTAGCCAGCCCTTGAACCTTAAGACACAGGGATTGTATTTTTGTGGATTGCGTAGTGCCACTTGCATACCATCTCGAGACTGCTTGCTCCTTGGAATACCTGCTGATTGTATCATTTCTCTTTTCTCCTTTGTCTATGAACCTGCAAGTGGTGAGCAGCCCAGAGGCTACATTCAGTGGAACTTTTCAGTTCTGTGATTCTGTTCAGAATCCACACGTCCTCTAAAAGGCCTCCTATAGAAGGAGTCCCCATTAACTGTAAATGGAGCTCTGATCACAGGAGGAATGAGGACAGGAGCTGAGACCATTATTCTCTATTCTAAGATGTCTAAAGCAGACCATAACAGCTTTTATGTTTTCATTCCTTGCTTTGAGGCCTACACCTTGAAGGCTACCTTTCTTCTCAGGTTCCCAAAATGGTTTTTATTCTCAGAATTATAAAAGGCAATGCTATTAGTGCACACTCATGCTGTTTAAGGAAGCAAAAACTTTTCAAATCTTGAGTACAATTACTTATGGAGTGTTTAATTTAAAACAAGACAGATTGAGCTTTATTGCTTGAGGTTAAGGATGTGATATATTCCTTACAGGGCTTTGGACCATGTAGTGGCTCATTGCAGAGTCAACTAGAACCATTTGAGAATTGCCTGACACAATATAGAATAACTTACAATTTATATCAAAGAAATCAATAAAATTTGCAAAGCTTTATGGCTCTTTGAAGACTTAGGTATTACCTAAATTTAGGTGTTACCTAAAATTTCAGCAAATAATGGTTTACTGTATTGAAGGGTTCCATTCCATCTTCCATCCCAAACACACTATATTATAAAATAATGCAAGGAACATTTAATTAATTTGAGAATAATATAGAAGTGTGTAATGTGGATGTGGGTATATATGTATCTGTATTTCCATGTCATTTTGGGATATGGAATGTGCATTTTAGGATTTAGAAAACATGTTCTGTGTAACATTTCTTTGCTCTTTTTTCTTTTATGTATATATTATAGGTTTTAAGAGCAGTTTTAGAGTCACAGAAAAATTGAGCAGAAGGTACAGAGATTTATCTTAAATCCCCTGCCACTATGCATGCATAGCTTTGTCCATTATCTACATCCTCCACCAGAGTGGTACATTTTTTACAATTAAAGCACCTACACTGATACACCATTATCACCCAAAGTCTATAGTTTACATAAGGTTTCACTCTTGGTGTTGTACATTCAGTGGGTTGAACAAGTGAATAGTGACAGGTATCTACCATTGTAGTATTACATAGAGTACTTTCACTGCCCTAAAAATCCTCTGTACTCTGCCTATTCATTTCTCACTACCCAGAATCCTTGGAAACCACTAATATGTTTACTGTCCTCATAGTTTTGCCTTTCTCAAAATGTCATGTAGTTGGAATTATAGTACGCTCCCTAATACATGTAGTACGTATTTAGTGCTAAAAAGAAATTGCTATCAAGTCATGAAAAGACATACAGAAAATTTAAATGCATATTGCTAAGTGAAAGAAGCCAATCCAAAAAGGTACCTTCTATATGGTTCTAACTACAGTCATACCACATAATGACATTTTGGTCAATGATGGGTTACATATACCACAGTGGTCTCATAATATTATAATACCCTCTTTTTTACTGTACCTTTTCTATGGTTAGATACACATATTCTTACCATTGTGTTACAGTTGCCGATAGTATTCAGTACTGTCACATGAGGAACAGGTTTGTAGCCTAGCAGCAATAAGCTATACCATATAGCCCAGATATATAGTAGGTTATATGATCTAGGTTTCTGTAAGTACACTTGTATTAGTTCGTTCTCATGCTGCAATAAAGAAATGCCTGAGACTGGGTAATTTATAAAGGAAAGAGGTTTAATCGATTTATGGTTCCTTTGGCTGGGGAGACCCCAGGAATCTTACAATTATGGCAGAAGGGGAAGCAAACACGTCCTTCTTCACGTCAGCAGGAGAGAGAAGTGCCAAGCAAAGGGAGAAAAGCACCTTACAAAACCATCACATCTCATGACAACTCACTCACTATCACGAGAACAACATAGAAGTAACTGCTCCCATGATTCAATTACCTCCCACCAGGTCCCCTTCATGACACCTGGGGATTATGGGAACTAAAATACAAGATGAAATTTGGGGGGGTGCACAGCCAAACCATAGCAACACTGTATAATTTTGCACAGTGACACAATCACCCCACAATGCATTTCTCAGAATGTATTCCATCATTAAGCAATGCTTGGCTATATATAACTTTCATTTATTTTAATTTCCATCAGTTACTTAGATGGCCTTGAGTAAATGTTGACCCTTTGACAATTGAGCATATTAATGTATATATCAATTGTGCCTGATTCAACTTACGTGGAGTTTTTTTTTTTTTTTTTTTTTTTTTTATAAATATATCATTAAAGGTTATGTGTTTTCTTGATCTTGCCCTGTAAATACTTTTTTAGATTGTAAATGTCTGGGCTAGGATATGAACAATGGCAAGGCACAAAACTTTGGAAACACTAAGACTCATGAAGTCTTTAACAAGTGATTTCACTCTTAGTCTTACAAAATTTTCTAAGCTGACATTATAATTGATGGTATGTAAAAACACCATAGGACAAAAATAATACAGAGCATTGAATTTGTAGCCTTGTCACATTAGTGGCTAGAAAACTATCCATTGATATTAAAATGTGTTATTTAGTACCATAAGATTTGTGACATTAACTTGGAAATTGTCAATATCATTAGGTTAACAAAGGCTACCTTGAATTAAGGCAAAAAATATGGTGGAGTTACAAAAATATGAACTGGCCATTTATGAAATTGAGGAAATAATAACAGGTTATAAATGTTCTGCTGGGTAAAAATAATATAAATGAATGTCTTAAATATAGTGGCAAGTGAAGGGTTAGGCGTAGAAGTTTTTTTTTTTTTTAATACCTCAGGAAAACTTTCACAGAATATTTGACTTTCAGAAGTAATTTAACAAAAACAATAATAATAAATTACAAAGCAGAAAATATGTGAGATGTATTTGTCATAATGATTAGGTTTTTGAAAACCTCTGAATAGCCAACTTAGTCTTTGAATTATTTGATGTCTAATGAGAAAGAATAGGATCAGGAGATAGAGGTAAGGAGTAAACCGCTGAATGCACTTATATAAATATTTTATGAAGGTGAAAATAAAACAATTAAGGCAGCACACAATATACATCACATTGTTACAATTTTGTAGGCCTTAAAATTAGTAAAAATATTTACTATATTTAAGAATTTCCATTTACCAATCCCTTGCCCATTGTGTAAATTTAACGTATTCATTCACTGTCTTAAAACAATACTCTTAAATGTGCTCTGCTTTGTGTTAGTTACGGCTCTTTTAGCCACCAGCTCAACATTTAATGAGTTCTGACTGAATCACTCAGAGTTGTTGACCCTTTGTCCCAGGCTTTTTCCAAAGCCCTTTGTCTGTGCTCTTGACACAAGTCTCACACGTTGCTTTTTCCCAAGCGTAACATTGTATGTATGCCTCTGAGGCTAGCAGGTCTATTCTCTATGTCTATGTGTGTGTGTGGATGTGTCTATCTTTCCCTTTCTCTCTTTCTGTCTCTCTCTCTCTCTCTCTCTCTGTGTGTGTGTGTGTGTGTGTATTTTTTCCTTCAAGACTTCATGGGGAGAGTGTGAGAGATGCAGACCTCTTATTTGTTCTCTGTCTTTCATCATTTTTAGAAATGAGAGTCAATAGCTCTTGTTTCAATTATCTCCAACTGTAAAGACTAGGCATTTAAGCATATTTGAACCATTTCTCATCGTTACTAACCAAGTATTTCATAGTGAATTCACATATACCATATTTGACTTTAGAATAAAGAACTCCGGGTTGGCAAGATTTCGTACACCACATGTGTACTAATAACAATAAACCTAATTTATTATTTATACTCTGAACCCCTTAAAATGGTAGTTTTAGAAAATTTTCCGTTGTACTAGATGCAATATGCTATATTTTTCAAACATTATAGAGTAATCCTTATAGCAAGGAACCAGTGGTTTAAAAACGCTTTTTAAGAGTTTGTGGCTGATGCCAAAACTTAGGGGTCAATACCTGAAGTTTCTTCAGTCGCTTGAGTTCCCTAATTCTGCCTTTCTTGCTTTTCCTCTTCCTACTGCCTTCCCTTTCAGTACTTTCACTTGTTACCAGAGGATAAAGCAGATATGGAGCCTCATGGCAAATGCGTGACTACCAGATCTATGACTCATCTGTGGGGACAATATTCCTAAAAAAGAGTCTAGAATTGATGCACAGAGAGCAGAGAGTACCTGGCTTCAGCTAAAATGGTGACAACATGTATTGTAGAAGGGTCTAGTTATGTGCTGAGCTTTTGCGCTCACAGCTCTAGAAAGCTGGAGGATGGTGAGGGCTTTTTCAGACTTGGGAAGGAATGTATGTGCATGAGTAGCACCTTTGTTTTCATGTAATTTGGAGTAAGGTACACCTGCTGGTCTTAAATTGTTAGAGGTTAAGACTCCAGGAACAGGCAATTCACCAGTGATTTAAATTCAAAGTGATAAGATGGCCCTTCCCTGAGTATTTTCCACATTTTGAATTGCCATAGTATCAATATGCTAAAATAATTAAATTGGAGGCTATTAGATGGAGGTGTCTTTAACAACCTAGGTTCCTACTTTAGGAAACAGAAACCTAACTCTTAATTTAAAAGAAAATGAAAATTAAGTTCATGTAATCACAGGGACCCAAGTAGACATTAGTTATATTGTCTTGAACTTTCTACTGGGATAATCCAAATAGGGCAACTGATCAAACTTTAACCAAGCAAATGATTTTTTTTGCCTTGCTTCAGTATTCACCCTATAAAAGCCTTCCCCTAGGACTCCTTTGGTGGAGCACCAAACCCAATTCATGAATTGCTGTCTGTTCAAATAAATTTTTAAATTTTAATGTGTCAGTTTATCTTTTAACAGATGCATGCACATTTTATATCATAACATCTACCTACATGCAACTTTTCTGTTTCATATTTAGGGTGAGAAATGGCTGAGAGTCAGGCTTCTAGAGTCTAGTCTCACCAGAATATTAATTAGCTCACCACAATTAATTAATTGTGGTTTAAGGAAAGGTACTACAGACTCATTCGTCATGACCTTTGAGAGAATTTACTGCTTAAAAGGTCTTTAATTCCATGCATTCCTGGTCCTTAGATATATCTATATATTATAATCTTCATGAGGCCATGGCTTCTATATCTGACATGTCTAGAAGAGTTCTGCTTATAATTTAAGCACTCAAGAAATTAAATTCATTCTAAGGAAATAAAGTATAAAGGAATACACTTCTGCCATAAATTAAGGACTATCTTTTATTATTTCCTTGTTCTCAGTGATTTACTATTAGTGTGTGGAATGGGGTTAACTCTGAAGCTGTTTACTGTGAGACCAGCCTTCTTTAGACTTCAAATTGAAAGATTATCATAACTGGATATTTTGAGCTTTGTGAGCTGTATGTCTAGACAGATAAAGTACAGAGAATAGTAGTAGAATTGTAATGAATTTGTGTAATTTCCTACTAGGCAATAAAGAACCTACCCCCATCAAAGAAAGCATTCCTAGAATTAAGACAATTAGTTATAGCTCATAATTTATCTAGTATGATTTACCACTCACCTAAGAATGACCCCACTTTATTTTACTTAATTGGAGACGATGTAAATGAAGAATCATTGTCTGGTAAGATGTCAAGTAGAACTGGTTAGGGGTTTTCATTTATAGAGAGAATAAATGCCACCTGTTTTGGTGGGAGTTGTTTTTCATTTTTTTTTTTTTTTAAGCATGAGTTCCTGAACTTCGTCAGTTGAAACCATAACTCCCACAGTTACAGTTAAGTGTGTGAGAATATTATTAAAGGTACATTTTCAGTAGAGGAAGTCTCCAGAATGTGTTACTACTAATCTTCTTGTGAAGATTGTGGTATTAATCTTCTTGTGCCATTAGTGGTATTCACACGATAAAATGTTAATGTTTTTCTTCTAATTTAAGTGCATTTCTGAACATACCTCAAAGCCAAGCCATGCTGGGTTGAAATAAGGAATGTGATTGGATTTGATTTTAATAGAACATAACATTGATGGAACTGAGATTGACCTCATTATGATTCTCGATTCCATAAGAGATCTTTGCTTTAGGCATTAAAGAGCATATGGTAATAAGTTTTTTTATGCTTTGCTGTTAAAGATTTAGTGGGAAGATTATCTGGAATACTTTTTATCAAATATCTTATTTAAATAAGAGGAATTCTTTAAAGCATTAGCATTAAAAATTCACAGAGCCTACAAAATTAAAGATAGAAAAATCTATTAGGTTATCTTCCGTCTCCCAGAAAAGGATTACTTCAGAGGAAAGAAGCTATGAAAATGAAAATAAAAACTGAAACAATTATATCAATATTACAGATGAGTGAAGAAAGGATGTATTGGATTGTTTAGAGAAATCAAACGAAATAATTTTTTAACCTTTAAGAAATCTTTTACCTATTTTTATATATTAAGTTTATATGTCTAAAGCCTTTACAGTTAAATCATGTTATTTTTGTTGTTTCTAAACCTAAGTAATTTTGAAACCTTTTTATTACAAATAAGCAGCTAATATTCAAATCTGAATATTCGCAAAACAAATTATGTGCTTGCAGTACTTTAACATGTTTTGCCTTTTGGTTTTGAATTCTCAATACAAAATTCTGTTTAATCACATTTATGTGATATTTTCATTTTGTTATATAATATGCACACAGATTAAAATAATTTTAAAGATGTGTGTGTTAGAAAGCAATTATCAGTGTATTTACAGATTTTTTCTGATATTTTTCTTTTCAAGAATCAATGAGCTACTTTTGAATGTGAAATAGACGGACTAGGAAACAAACTTTACATTTGTCAGCATATGATATCACTGATACTTTCAATTTGAATGATCTTTTTTTGATGATTCAGTACCTTTTAGAAAAATGTTCAGTGTTTTAGATACCTAACCCTGACCCTGTTCTTCTCCAGCAAGACATATGTGGCTTTGTTTCTTGTGGCGGGAGGAGATCTTATCTAGCCACAGTGTGGCTGGGATGGTCTGCTCCTGGGGATGAGGTATGACTGGTCCAATCTGGATACTTGAGTGGAATGCTGCCACCCGCAGTCAGAATCTATAGCCCCAACAAAGTGTCACCAGTATTGACGTTTTATGTTCTCTAGCTGTTATACACCCCTTCTTCAATTTCAAGATTGATCCTACAGATTGAGGTAGAATTGATGCTAAGGGTCGAGTAGTTTTAACCCTGGAGAGAGAAAAGATGAGGGGGATGGGTAAAATAGATGGCTCTGAAAGTTATTTTAAAAATGATATTAATTTTCATACCTGAAAGGTATTAACTTATTATGTGCCAGTAAATGTGCAGGTCCTAATAAATTATAACCAACCAAGCAAGAAAGCCCTATAGAATTTGTCCTATTTGTTGCCCCAAAGTTGTCCTCACTCCCTACTGTCTGCCAGTTACACTGGCCTCCTTTCTGTTTTTCATCTTCATAGACCCCTTCTGAAACAGGCCCATTGCACTTTCTTGTCTCTCTCTCTAGAAGGCTTTTGCTCGGAAGTTTTTTTTAATCCTTCATTGTCTCAACACAAATATTTCCTCCTCAGTGGTCTATGTCTTTCATTTTAGTTCTGTTGTATTTTGCTGCTGTATCCCTAGTGCCTAGAATACTGCCTGCTATATATAATAATATATATATATTGATCAAATGAAAGATAAAGTGATATCATTTAGTCTTCATAATAACATGAGGTATATTTTGTTATTAACAGTTCATAATGGGAAAACGGAGTCTTATGGAGGGAGATTTAGTGACTTTTCTAAATTTAACCTACTAGGGTGAGGCAGATATAGAATTCAAATTCTGGTCTATATATGGAAGTTCATCTTTAAACACTGAACTATACTGTCTATACTGCTTTGGTAGTGTGAATTTTGTCATCTGTTTCAAGTAGCTTGGTTCACATGCCAATAAACTCATATTATTGTTTGTTTTCACTATGTGCTGCACAGCATAAACATATTATGCTTATAATTTGAAGTAGATCCCTTTCCCTACATTTTATGTGAGAGCAGAACCACATTTGCACATTCTTCTTAAAGCCTCCTAAAAGGGATTGTTGAATTGTGTCTTTTAAAAGTAATGCTGAAATCAATGTCATATCCACACTTAAACAAGGAAATAATTCTCATAAATAATACAAAGAAATGGAAACATTTTTGAGTAGTAAAAACTTTCTTCTGCTCTCAAAAATGTAAAATTTCTTACGATATTTGGATTTCATGCTCAACTCCAAATGGGAATTGCCATCATGATGTTATAATCCATTTCACTCAATGAAAAGTTTAGGTAGAAGAATATAAGATTACTAAGGAATAACTGGAGACTTTACTGATAAGTTATTATAAGTTAATTTGTTTTTGGACAGAGTTCCAGGTTTTCTTTGTGACCATAGTTGTACACACTTCTTGTTTTCTAGACCACTGGCACATCTGCACAACAGGTGATATGTAATTTCATCAAATAGGTTTTATCACTTTCCTTATAATGAGATATATTTTTTGTGCCTCTCCTTGATATACTTACTCTGAAGCATTTCTGGCTGAATACCTCTTTTGTTATTTTATGGATGAGAGGAGAAAAAATACAAGATTTTTTCCATCAATTTTTCCAACTTATACGTGTTTTGCTTCAACAATTTATGCAGTGAGAGGTGGAAAACCTGAGCAGTTGCTAGGGTGTGCGCTTTCTGTAGATCGATCCACACAGGACAGAATAGAGTGCATTCTGAAGAGGTAGGAATTAGAAAGTGATGCCAAATCAGCAAAACAAAACGAAGCAAAAAGCCTGAAGCAAATTAATCATGACAAAACCTGCACAAAATCTGGAGAGCAAGTTGCTGTACCTTGAACCTTCAATAAACAAATTCACTTTGAATTTTAGTAGGATAAAAGATTTAAATGCAAACTGATTCAAGATGTAAAACAAAGTCACTCAAATAGGCAAGACAGACTAGCCTACATAAGGAGATGTTGAGTTTGAGAAAAATTAATAGTAACATTTGAATACTTTAAGTATTTTACAGTTTAGAGACAATTTACTAAAACATTATTATTGTAAGATCAGAATAGTAACATATTTTTCTTTAGAATACAACTTTTTCTGCCTTTATTTAAATAAATATGATTCTACTAAAATGGAATATTCATGTTTGGTAAGATCATAATATTTTAGACTTAATTCTTAACCCAGGAACTTTAACAATTTTCTATGCAAAACTCTTATGGCAATGAACAAGATAAATTCTATTGTAAAACAACTAATTCTTGTTTTTTACAATCATGTATTTCAGCTTGTTAGAATATTTTCTATTATCAGAACCGGCTTTGTTAGTATCATGCACTGGTAACCATCTATATTGATCACATGGTAAACAACATTAGAAGTGGTTATCTGTTTGTCTTTACATATCTTGGTGGAAATACCAACTGCTAAATTATGAATGGCATACTCTAGAATTTAAAAGCATGTCGTTTTGATATCTTCTCAAAGCTAGTAACAGGTTATTGTAATTGGAAAGTCTCTTTTGAATGAGACATAGATGCAGAACAACACTAGCTCATTATAATTACATGCAAAGGGAAAAAGGTAACATGAGGTAGTCTTTGCTGAGATTCATATTTTATGTAGTTGGGCGGATAGGTCTTAATGATATATGCAAACTCTAAGAAAGTATCTTTGGTATTTTTAAAGACTTAGGCAGAAAACTGGATTTGGGAAGCATTGTTGGAGGTTTCATTGCTTCTTTCATTAAGTGGCTGGGACAATGAAGAGAGAAAGTTTGGGAAATAAATGTTTGGCTACAGAGATGGCATTCATTAATGACATGAAGAATTTTTAGCCTTGCTGAAGACACAAGTGGTCTCTAGGTACAGAAAAAACAAAACAAAAAGGCAAGAAGACAGACTTTTGTCACTCACAATAACTCTGTAATAGTTATATATATATATAACTATTGTGTGTGTATATATATATATAACTATTGTGTATATATATATATATACATACACACACACAATGGGGCTGCATCAGAAGGTAAAATTTCTTAGTTTGGGGGAATATTGATATCAGTGAACAACTTCTTGGTGAGAGAACTGTAAAGAGAGTTCAAAGTGTAAGTGATAATACCAGATGATTTTTAAATTTCCTTATAACTTGAGATTTTACAATTTTATTTATTTTTCTATACTTCAAAAAATTTGTACAAGGTTATAAAATGTCCTAGGTTATAAGATATAAATATAAATTTTTCTCATTTAAAAAGAAATTGTCTCTATTCTAATCCAATACACAGACTGTAAAATGTATAGAAATTTAAAAATATATATATTTAATATACTGCATCTTCTCCAGGTTGAGATTTTTTAAAACGACTATTTCATGTGACCCCACATTAGAGAATTGTGATACTGCAGGTTAGCTCTATTAGTCAACACTTATGGGAAAAAAAGTAGAAAGAAAAATCTAGAACAATAAGTTGGGGATGGAGAGGGGACTGGATCTCCATGAAGAGAGGAAAGACCAATAATGAGGGTATATTTTTAGATCCTGAAAAGGCAACTATGTGTGTCTTAGACCAATGTCTGGATTTCATGATGCCAAACAAATTCTTTTATGACAATTGTAATAGTACTTCAGGTTCAATCCATAATTCATCAAACAGTTTAAGCCAATCTATTCTGTATTTAACCATGTGAGACTATATACTGAAAATCTGTAGAAAATGGAAATTATATATTATAAAGTTTTCTGAGATATATTCTATAAAAGTGAAGGATTTTTGTTACATGTTATGGCGCTGGGTTATGAGGTTCCTAAAATATAAGTAATAGGAGTCATCTGAATCACTGTATTCTAATTTAATTATAAACAGTTAAATAAAACCCCAAGTAAAATCTAAACATCCATAATTTATATTTTAATTTTCATTTTTGAATCATTTCAGTGAAAAACAAGTTATTACATGGGACATATTGCAGTTTGAAACCTCACTTCATGACGACTGAAACAAAAACCTCTGACCTAATATGAGATGGCATATTTTTTATTGCAATCAGGATGTAATAACTACCAGCATGAATACTTAGAACTGTTCTCCTCCTTCTGTTTTCAGCATTGGGTTTATCTACATTTTTAATGAATTGGATAGCTTATTAGGTCGTATGACATCTGAGGTCCTTTCCAGCCTGAGATTCTAATATTCTATTTTATGTGTCTTTTCTTGAGAATCATTGTTTTTTTCTCTAGTAAGATTTACTGTTTCCTGTGCTAATAATTCAATAATTTAGAAAATAGTTGTCAAAAGATTGAGAAATTATGTGAAATCCTTAAAATTGGGCCAGTTACTTTGCCAAGCATAGCCAATAATCTTGGAAGTGCACATTATCAGTTAGTTTTGATTACAGCTGAAGATGTTGGGAGAATAAATGGGACTGGAACAACATATTCATCACTACTCCAAGGGATCCTATTATAAATATATCTCCTGAAACCCAAGTGACTGTTGCAAAGAGGGGAAACTCTCTTATTCAATATAAGCAGCACCAGTAGTTAGCTGGTAAATGGACACATTGGTAACAGTATAGAATCCAAAAGTCATTAATACATATAACCTTAAGCATTTATTTTAACTGAGTATATATAAATATACTTTAGATAACCTATCTTTTGATTAATAGTCAGGACTTTTTCTTTGATAATTGGTTTTCTCTTGGACATTTTTTTGTTGTATTTTTAGTATAAATGACATCCATTATGTGTTTCTCCCATCTCTAGTTTCATGTTCTTGGAAAATAAGTGAGAATATAAACATACTTGCAAAGTTATCTGTGAAAAATCCTTCTAGGTTTTTATGCTTTTTTTTAATACCTAATTCAACAAGGCTTTTTCAACTTTCCACCATGAGTCTGATTCTCAAAACTTTCAACTACTCGTTTTTAATTTAACACTCAAGTCTTACTGATTTTTATAATATTTAATCAAATTTATATCATTATAATTAAATGTACAAAGGACAGTTGAGTTTGAGAGCAAACACAACTGACTAGGCATACAACCCAATTGAGTGAAGAAGCTCATGGTGAAAATGTAGTCACTAGTGTGAGTGTTCAACATGCTGTGGACATTAGTCATATTTAACAAAGGAAATGCTAAGTAAAGATTAGTTCAGTGTATCAGATAAATGTAGGTTAGTTAAGAGAGCCTTCAGTGTTTTAATTTCTTTGATTATAAACTCCTTGAATGAAGTGACTGTTTCTTATGCATCTTCATATTTCCTGTTTACCTAGCATAGTACCTAGACATAACATACATAAGCATTTGTTTTTTCATTTGAGTTATAGCATTGACAACATGTAATTGTCCTAATGAGATGCTGTTTCCTCTGAGGATATGAGTGGTGGTAGTATTTTACTATTATTTTCTCTATGCTCAGCATGTAAATAAAGCAATGTTAACATCCTGTTTGTATTTCATTTTGATTGCCATTTGGTAGCTTGAGTTGGAGAAAAATTTATGCACAGCGTTTAAGAGGACCAATTTATACTGAAAGCTTTGGAATTATCTTAGAGCCACCGTGAAGCCCCTACAAATTGCAATTTCAGTCATAGAAATGCTAGAAATCAAATGAATAGAGTAACATTTGGTATGTAATACCAAAACATGTTTGTATTACTCTCTTGAACACAAGCAGCAAAAAGAGTTAACCATTAGTGGACTATAAGATTTTTACTATATGTGTGCTTTCTGTAAACTTGTCATTGCGTTTTATGAATGTGGTACATGTTCATAGTTTTTAAAGTCAAAGAGTAATACAAGACTTATTATCATTTTTGAAAAGCTATCTTCTTACCCACCACTCCCATTCCTCTCTCCCTATTTCCTAGACTGAACCTAATTTCAACTCTTTCATAGTTGTTTCTTCTCATATGTAGTTTCATAGTTTGTGCCAGTAATGACCACAAGGCAGTTTTCTGATATTTCAGTTTCAATTATGGTCTACCATCTTCCTACAAGAAATGATGAGTGCTTTTCCTTACTTCATGTCTTCCTCCACACCTTGTTATATACGTTTTTCCTCTATCCCATCCTTCCAAATCTTGTGGCACATATTTTTATTAAATTCACATTCAATAGTTTGTAACTATATAATCACCGATCAAAGATAAACCATTCAGTGTACCATGATTAAATTTCTTTTCTGACTTTTCTGTGGAGCCAACAATTTTTTTCATTTGTTTATTTTCCTATGTAAACATCACTAACTCAGTGCAAACTTTCTGAACTTATAGATTCATCTCAACAGGGTCAAATTCGTGAAGGAATCTAGCAGTCCTATTTTCTCTTTAAAGACAGCTCCTTAGGGCCTATCAGACACTACTCCAGTGAAGTTGGTTTCCCTCACGTCTGAATCACAGTTGTTACTTAAGATTTCTCTTGGCCGGGCGCGGTAGCTCACGCCTATAATCCCAGTGCTTTGGGAGGCTGAGGTGGGCAGATCACGAGGTCAGGAGATCAAGACCATCTTGGCTAACATGGTGAAACCCTGTCTCTACTAAAAATACAAAAAATTAGCCAGGCGTGGTGGTGGGCACTTGTAGTCCCAGCTACTTGGGAGGCTGAGGCAGGAGAATGGCGTGAACCCGGGAGGTGGAGCTTGCAGCGAGCCAAGATCGCGCCACTGCACTCCAGCCTGGGCGACAGAGCGAGACTCCGTCTCAAAAAAAAAAAAAAAAAAAAAAAAGATTTCTCTTCATCATCACAGTGGGAATTGCCTCTGCCTCTTTCATATTGTTTTATGAATCTCATGTCTGTTACTTGAGAAAGAGTGATTGAAGGGCAAATTCCTTGAAATCTTGACTATCTCAAAAACTCTTTTTTATACCCTCACATGTGATTGATCATATAGCTTGTTATAGAATTCTAGGTTGAAAAAAAATAACCCCCTGAAATTTTGAAAGCTATAATACTCCATTCTATTCTTGTCTTCCTTCCAGTTTGAGAAGTCTGATAACATTTGGATTCTCAGTCTATTGTATCTGGTTATTTTCTAAGGGTTTTACAATTTTTTATTTCTACCTGGTGTTCTGAAATTTCATAATGTTGTGTCTTGGTGTGGGCCTTTTTTCATTTATTTGTGCTATGTGTTTGGATGACTCTTTTAATCCAGAAGTGTATGCCCTTCAGTACTGGAAAATTGTAGTCTGATTTCTTGGGTCATTTCTGACCCTGCTTTCTCTCTTTTATCTTTCTGAAAACTTCACTGATCAATGTTGATTCTCCTAGATTGATTCTCTACTATATGTGTATTTTTAGTCTCTTATTCTCCATCCATTTGTTTAATTTTTTTACTCTGAGAGATTTATTCAACCTTTATATTGGATTATTTTTAAACAATCATTTTAAATGTCTAAATGTTCTTTCCTGTTTTCTAAAAGATTTTGTATTTTCTGATGAAATTACATAGGTATAATATCTACAGTATCTTCTTTTATCTCTGAAAGTACACATACACAAATACCACCTCCCCCCACCACAAACACACTTATTTAGGTTTTCTATTTTTATCATTTTTTTTTCACTGTTTATTTTAGTCTTTCTCTCATAGTAGAGGCATTTCTCAAATGTAATCCTTGACTGTCCACTTACATTTGAAAATGAAGTACACAAAAGGCTGATGGGAAGTTGTGTGTGTGTGTGTGTGTGTGTGTGTGTGTGTGTGAGAGAGAGAGAGAGAGAGAGAAGAGAGTCATCTTTGGGTAAATGAACAGGGACTAGCTATTTTTTTTTTTCAGGGAGTACATGCAAATGTCAGTCAGAATCTGTAGGTTTTTTTTCTTGGGCCACTTATTTTCCCCAGAAAAGAATTCTCCATTCTCATTCAATATGGAGAGTATATTTAACCCCTGTTTTTAGTGTAGTACTTCATCCTCACCTTTAGCTAGGGTCCTTAAACCTTTCCAGAAAGCAAACTTTATGTAGGGAGAGTAGTTCAGCTGACTGAGTGAGCCAGGGGTTCTGATAGTCTGTATTCTCTTATATGGACTTTAAAACAAAAATACTCCTGCTCTGTCCCACCC
This sequence comes from Homo sapiens, assembly GCF_000001405.40. Classification (NCBI taxonomy): domain Eukaryota; kingdom Metazoa; phylum Chordata; class Mammalia; order Primates; family Hominidae; genus Homo; species Homo sapiens. Next base: position 168,543,070 of record NC_000003.12, read on the forward strand.
TTCATCCTAGACTTCAGGGGTCCCTGAAAAATAATTTCTAAGCCTGGCAGGGATATGGCATATGAATCTGGCTTCCATCCTCCTGGTAAACCCACTTTACTTACCTAAGCAGTGAAGTTTCTTGGTTTTGCTAACTCAGTAACTCCACTTCCATCTGCTATCCTCTTTCAAAAGTTTATCCCTTATCTTCTGATATTTCATTTCCTTTTCTCTGTACACTGCTGTGTTTGTACTGGATTTCCATATTTTCATTTTAGTAAGATTTTGGGAAGGAATGGAATAAAGATTAGGAAATTTTCTTCTCTCACTAGTAAGAGAAAACTGCTCAATATTTTTTTAAATGCAAAATGTGCTGTATAGTCAACTACTATTGTTTTATCAGTTCTGACCTTTGGTTAACAGTATTTTAACTTTGGATGTTACTTTCTCAAACTTCTTAAACCATTACAATAATTTATCATTTACTTTTATAACCTGAAAAATAATGTCTGAGCTCTCATAAAATGAAAATAGTTAATTTGCATGCTATTGCTTTTGAATGTTGTACTTCAGATTATGTTCTTAAATTTGTCTTATCTATTCTATAATGTGATGTTTTAATGCACATCTGATTCCCTATCATCTTAACAAGTATTTGCATTTACTGCTTTGTTTTCTTTATTTGATTTACCCTATAAAATAGTCCCTTTAGCACAGATTAGAAGTAGTTTATTACTTATTGTCTGAGTCAATGAGATTTCATACATGTAAATATTATATTCTAGTTATATTGTCTAAATACTCTGCATCACATACTTGAATCATTCTAATAACAATAATGTCAATTGAAATATATTACTTTCTTTTGCAGATAAAAAGTATTAAGGGTATCTTCTTTTTAAATAATGTATGAATTATAAATCTATGCTTATAACTTTATGATGCCTTCAAGTAGGCAACATTGTCAGTGGAAGAACTATAGTGTACATTTGTTTTTATGCTGCTAATAAAATTAAACTGTGTTAGGTTAAGAATACATTTTTAAAATGATAGTTAAAGTTAAATAGGAAGCCACTAAGTTGTGTTTGTGTTCAAGTTTAAACAGAAAGCAATATTTACCCAGCATTCTTTGAAACAACCATTTTGGATGAAATTTTTATTCAACCTGGCAAATAAATGATGACATTCATGTTCTTAAGTAGAATAAAATGCTGGAAAAATGAACAGCTCCACCTTATGACCAGTTTTGCTATAGTTTTTAACCAGTCAGATTTTGGCTTAAGCCAAGCTTAATTGATGATTTAATTATTGCTTGGTTTAAGCAGAAAGTTTAGTGTATATTGTAGAAGATGTGTAAACAAAGAATTTTCATTACTTTTCCTCAATTGAGCTAGCTCAACACAGAAATTACTTGGGGAATCTTGACCTTAGTGGCAAACAGTAAACAACTAAAGGCAGTGTGGTAGGCTAAATAATGCCTCCCTAAATCCATATTCAAATTCCCTGACTGTGTGAAGATGTTACCTTACATGACAAAGGGGACTTTGCAGATGTCATTAAAAAATCTGGAGATGGGAAGATTATCCTGGACTATCCAGGTGGGCCCAGTGAGATGATTATAGATGTCCTTAAAAGGGTTGGCAGAGGGAGATTAGACTACAGAAGAGGAGAAAGTGGTGTGATGTTGGAAGCAAACAGATTTGGAGATGCTGTGCTGCTGGCTTTAAAGCTGAAGGCAGAGTCTATGAGCCAAGGAGTGCAAGGAATGCAATTCTAGAGGCTGGAAAAGGAAAGGAAAAGGATTCTTCTCTAGAGTTCCAGAGGGAGAGTGGCCCTTCTAACAGTTTGTGTTTAGCTCAGTGAAACTAATTTCAGATGTCTGCCTTCCAGAAATGTAAGGGAATAAATTTGTTTAAGTGTAACTTGTTAGAGCAGCAATAGAATAGTAATACAGTCAATAGAAAACTATTACAGTATGAGAAAACTATCCCCAAATCACACAAAAAAGTGCAAGACCAAAAAATAGAAAAACGAAGCCACAAAGCCATATTTCCCTTCAGCCATAGCCTAAATTCATGCTCAAAGAAGATTCTTACAGAATATTTGCAAATATCCTAGTTACCACCATTTTTGCAGAAAGGTTTTTGAGGGGGTTTTCCATTAGGTGGAATATTTAGTGAAGTGGTTTGTAAGTAAAAGTTATCAAAGGTAACCAAGCTTGAAAACTTTTGTTATAATCCCTCCTGGAATTTTTCTTTTTATACCTTGTTCTCTAGGAGAAATAAAGTGAATTCTATAAACATTGTTATTATAAAGCAAGTTTAGGCTAATTTGTTTCCTGACTTTTGTAGAGATAGCTATGGCACTTACTTTTATCCTACACCTAATCATGGAGTAAAATGAAAAGCAAATGTATTACTTTTGTGAAGTTTATTGGGGGAGAGGTTGAATTGAAAAATACTTTATGAAGCTAAGACTTCAAAAATTTGCTATTTATAAATTGCATGTAGTATGTGTATATCAAAGTAAGGACAGTAGTTATTAGTTCTTTTGAAATATTACATAAATTTCTGTATGAATTATCTCTTTGTATATAACAAAGCACCTCAACCCTTACTGGCATAAAATAGCAACTGTTTATTTGCTCATGATTCTGCAGTCTGGGCTGGGGCTCAGCCAGCAGATTCTTTTGCTGGTCTTGCTGTTGATCCTGCCTGAGTTCATTCACATAACTGTAGACATTTGACAGCTCAGCTGGGGCTGGGTAATACCAAATGACCTCACTGACAGGCCTGGCAGTTGATGCTGGCTGTTGGCTGTGGTGCCCGAGTTCTCCCCTGCATTCCCTCTCATTTTTCAGTAGGCTGGAGTATGTTTTTTCAATTGATAATGGGAGCATTCCACAAGGACAAAACAAAAGCTGCATGTCTCTTAAGGCTTACCTTGAGAAGTCACACAATGGCAATTCTATAGCATTCTCTCCATGAAAGCAAATTATAAGGCCAGTCCATTTTCAATGGACAGAGAAATACAGTCTACTTCTCAATGGGCAGCGTGGTAAAGTCACATTGCAAAGGACGTGGATATGAGGTGCTGTGGTTCATTAGGAGATCCTATTGGATTCACCCACCCCACATCTCTAATGCACGTTATCCCATGTTTTTTTTTGTTTTGTTTTTGTTTTTGTTTTTTTGTTTGTTTTTTTTTTTTTTTTGAGATGGAGTCTCGGTCTGTTGCCCAGGCTGGGGTGCGGTGGCATGATCTTGGCTCACTGCAACCTCCACCTCCCTGGCTGAAGCGATTCTCCTGCCTCAGACTCCTGAGTAGCTAGGATCACAGGCATACCCCACCACACCCAACTAATTTTTGTATTTCTAGTAGAGATGGGGTTTCACAATGTTGGCCAGGCTAGTCTGGAACTCCTGACCTCAGGTGATCCACCCGCCTCGGCCTCTGGAAGTGCTGGGATTACAGGCCTGAGCCACCATGTCCAGCCCATTATCCCCTGGTTTTATCTTTATCCAGACAACATGGGTGTCTCTATTTTTAATTTTTAATTTTATGGTGTTTCGTTTTGTTCTGTTTTTTGAGATGAGGTCTCACTCTGTCACCCAGGTTGGAGTGCAGTGGCACGATCTTGGCTCACTGCAACCTCCGCCTCTCGGGCTCAAGTGATCCTCCCACCTTAGCCTCTGGGAGTAGCTGGGACCACAGGTGTGCACAACCATGCCTGGCTATTTATTTATTTGTTTATTGGTAGAGATGAGGTTTCACCATGTTGCCCAGGCTGTTCTCAAACTCCTGTGCTCAAGCAGTCCACCCACCTCAGCCTCCAAAGTGCTGGGGTTACAGGACTGAGCCACCACGCCCCGGCTTATCGGCTTTTGTTTTATTTTGTTTTAATCGGTGATGAGTAACGGTGGGGAATAGTATGCCAGTATGCATGGGAGGAAGGATTGTAGAAATCTGGCTGGGGAAATCACATTACTTAACTATTTGAGGGCGTGTGTAGTGGACATTTATTTCTTCTTGTTACTGTTTTTTTCACCACTTTCTTTCAAATATGCTGTTTTGAATATGCAAAATATAAAGTACTGTTCTGTTTGAATGTAGAAAGTACTGTGAGATTGTTCAAATTATTTGATAGAAATATATTGAAAACTGTCATGATTTGATCTCTGATTCCATGTTTGTGAAGGGAAAGTGGTTAGCTCTACAGTTGGGTGAAATTGGATGATACAACTACTAAGACATTTCCTTACGGCAGTGATTCTCAACCTGGCTGCACCTTAGATCACTTGGAGAGCTTATAAAAGTGTCGATGCTTAAGTCCTATCCCAGCACAATTACATCACAGTTTATAAGTGTCTGTATTTTAAAAAAAAACTTTACGGAAGAGTCTAATACATAGCCAGGATTTAGGACCACTCAGTGCTTTAACGGTTAGAGATTTGGAGGAATGGTTTGAAATAATAAGGTTTGTGCATATGATATAGTAAGGTTGGGTTTGTACAGGGGCCTCCAGCCAGAGCTGATATACTGACAATGCCTCAATGTGGAAAAACTGTTTACCTTCTTGTTTGATTGGATAGGAGAAAAATGTCCTAATTTTCTGATGGGGCTCCTAATTTTTAAACATACTTGTAGAGAGCAAAATAGCACCAGTGGCAACACATTATTTTGAACCAAGTAACTAATACTCCAATGGAGGGATAGCTAGATATAAAATAATGCTATAAGAATTGTCATGTATCAAATGCATTTTTATATTATCTATTTAAAAGAAAAATATTTATAACTAGAGCTTTGTAATTTTCACTTTCTTTCACCAGTGGGGTTATTTTTAACTCACTTATAGCTGGAGTTGAAAGGATATTTTTTAGAAGTCAGTGAGACTTTTCAAAGGAACAAGAGGCTATGGTATCCTCTAATACTCATTCTTAAATATATTATTCTCAGGAAATGGAAAAACACATCTGATTGTATGCAAACCATTTGTCCAGTTGCACTGTTTTATATAGGAGACAAAACTGTTAATGACTGGAGTTGGGGGATTTACCAGGCTCTAGAGTAATCTGGGATGGATAGAAATGTAGCTTCTATATTGATGCTACTGCAATGTGGCTTGTTATAGAAAAGCTCCTTTCTCACTGATATTTTCCAAAGTGAACAAGTGTTTGAATCAGAGCTTCTCACAAAAGACAGAAATAATGGAACTCTTCATTTGTTGACCCGCAAAAGTGGCTAATTAAAAACAGTGTCTTGATTTCTCCACACTGTCATCCCAAATCAAGACCTGACTGTGAGTGGGGAGAGTAATCTGATTCTGTACCTGAAGTGAAATATTAATGTCCCAGACTGGGTGAAGCCATCTAGTAGATAATATTTCTTTCTTTTTTAAAAAAGTAATTACTGGTAGAGTAAAGAATATACTCAGGCATACAAAAATTTAAGATGACATGAAATCTTTGGAGTTACAGTTATAAGAGTTGATTTATTCTAGAGAATCCAGAAAAATGGTTCAATAAAACCATCTCTGCGTGGTGAGACTGTGCATTTCAACCCAAGCCTTTAAGAGGGAAGAATCGGTATTGAGATTAAAAAAAAAAAAAATCCATCTAAGGAAAACGCTCTACGTAAAGGCTCAGGATTTAAAAAATAAAATTAAATAAAATTACCCTTGCTTTGATCCTGAGGCTAAATCTAAAGTAATCTGCAACAACAGGCCTTTTTTGTTTAAGGATTCCTGTCCTTTGAGGTGAGGTATGTGCTGTGTTTAATAAAGATTATGTGACTGATTACTTTTCACGTACTGACAGCTCCCTGTGGTGTCTTTTATGTGGATGGGGGAGATTATATTAAAGCTCTGTCTTTCTGCGTAGTGGCCACCTGCTCTTAAAAAAGGTTGTAGCAAACTTCCTTGGAAATAATGTTAGGAGTCCAAAGCATGATACAGAAACTGATGGGACTGATCTGCATCTAGACTGAGCAGTACAGTGAATAGCAATGAAGACAGGAGGATTGAGCCCCAGGCAAGCCACTATATCTGCTCAGTTGTTATATTTATCAAGGATTACACTAAAACCTAATTCTGATTATGAGCAAAGTGCTGTATCCTGAAGTAAAGATGGTGAGTAAACAAGAACAAGGGATAACCTTCTTTTTCTGTGATGTGTATGCATTTGATGAGCTTTATGAATGTATTTCCCTAATTGATTTCAAGGAAGAATTTTCTAGGGTTAATGTATGAAAAGCAATTTTTACATGAAGCCTTAGTGTAAAGTAAAGTCAATGATTAGTAGAGATCCTCAAAGCAATTGTACTACATAGAAATCAATATAAATACTGTATTAAAGCATTTATTTCACTTGTGAATCTGCATGTGTGTGGCTGGAAATAACTGCAGTATTACAATAAGCTAGGCTGAAGTTTGCATTTAAAATAGCAAAAAGGCAAATGTCTTCTATGTCACTGTCAACTATAGTTATAAATTGAGATCTGATAAAACATCAAAAAACTTTGTAAGCTTTAAAATATTTCTGTAGGGTAATATGACATCCCATGGTCTGTGTAAAAGTTAGCATGCTCTTTCTCTTGATATTTTCCCCTTAACTTTCTCCTTCAATTGGAGTACTTGGTTTTCAGTCCTCCAGTCATTACTCTGTCTCTGCATGCTGTCCTTGTGCTGTCCTGACTATATTTTTTGGTTTTAAAATCTAGGATCTTCAAGTCTATTTACTTCAAATTTACCATGGTTAAAATTGAGCTAATTTCCTACCTTCTTTAAATCTCTTTATGATTTCTCCTTACCTCTGAGTAAATGGTGTCATAACCACCACGTTCAGGGGGCTGGAAACCCATGAGTCCTCGTGCATTCTTCCTCAACATCCAATCCTCAAATTCTATTGGTGTTCATTGTTTTTTGTTGTTGTTGTTTTTTGTTTGTTTGTTTGTTTTTATCTTCACTGCCACAAGTCTGATTTTATACTCTCATTTTTCACATGAAAATGGCAACAGCTTTCTAACTAGCCTCTGCTGTCTCACCACTTACCGAGAAAACATCCAAATTCCCTGGCACTCACGCATGGCCTTTGACAACATGGTCCCTGCAAGTCCGATCTTTCCTCAGTTTTCTGGATCTCTCACCAGGTCCCCCCTTTTACCTGTTCTCTGGTGATAATGAACTTCCAGGAGTTCCTGGATCTTCCATACTTCTTACTTGCTCACCCTTCTTTCTCTTTCTCTCTTTCTCTTTGGAATGCCCTGTTTTAATTGCCCACTTGGAAAGTTCCTTTTCATCTGTTGTATCACTAGTTCCACTCCTCTACCCCACACTATGCATTAATGAAGGTCCCTTGGAAGGTCCCTATTATGTGGCCCATGCCCTTTGAGCAAATGCTACCTTGATGTAAAACTTTCCACAAAGAAGTTAATGTTGGTAAAGTGCCACTCGGAAATTAAAGCACAGTGCTTTGAAGAGTTAAATCCAATGACCTTGTAAAGAACTGGAAATTGTTAACAATGGTGCTGTCTGTCAAGGCTGGCATACTAGAGAGGCTCCGTGTGGACACCAAGATCTGAGCTCGTGAGGTAGGTGGGAGGGGGAGGCATGGTGATTATGGTAAATAGGGGGGCCCAGACAAGATGAGTCTTTCTGTCTCAGGAAGGAAAAAAAGATCACTGAAGAGTAAAGCTAGGGTACAGAATGGCAACACCAAGTTTAAGTGTTGATGCAAGGGTTGATGGCAATGAGATGAAGCTGAGCAGGGAACCAGGTAGAAATGGAACTGAACAGGTGCAGGGAGGCAATGGAGCAAAGAGGTTTCTGGGCCACTCTCAGGATCAGTCATGAAATGTCCTTAGCTTCTCATTTTTGTTGGAGGATATGTGGAGGCATAGAGCTTGGTCACATTGAGCTGACGCAAGTCACTGATTCCTGCAACCTCTAGTGATGCATTTCCAAACTCAGGTTAAAATGAAGGTCAAGAACTCCTGTTTTGCCATTTCTAAATTATTGGGATTAGGCTATGAGCTTATTTCGAGGTATTTTTCAGTTCTGCTATGCTATGACTCTGATTTTGTTTTTATTTGGTAATCTTATATGGACAATAATTGCATTTTGCAAATTTAAAAGTATCATGCCAACATGGTTTGTCTGTTACTTAGCTTTCATTTTTCTTTTAATGTTGGAAAATTGTGATACAAATTTATAGATCCTAAATTAACAAATTACTCAAGACTTTAGAATTTCTTAAAATGTTATGGTATGCTTTTTTTTTGAAAGCTCTACATTTTATAAAACCAAATTTGTCATACGAAGTTTTAGGTATCAAGAAAGAATTCTGTGGATTTTTGTGTTGTCAGGGTATCTTAGATTGTAATTTTATGTATTTTCCTTTTGGTACCTCATAAAAACTAGAAGGGCTTTCTTGAACTGCATACTTTGTCAATACAATTTGATGATGGAGAAAGACATTTAAGTCCAGAACGATTGGTGTAAAGTACACTGGGTGAGACTGTATAGTTGAATTTTCCAGATGATCGAAAATTGACAGTAAAGAAATATATACAAAATAGATTTTGAAAGAATTGTTGAATGTTTACCTGTCGCTACATATTATCTTGGATACAGTACAGATAATCCGAATGGAAAATTGCACTGAAAATGTCTTCCCCTGAGTTATATTTGCTGGTTCTTACATAAAATGTTATTTATACAACAGATTTTATTGTATCTTCTCTTGCTTTACTCCTTTATCACCTTCTAGCTAACTGTCCTGACTTCAGACCTCTGTTAGATCTGCCAGATGTGCTCTCCTGGCCCATGAAATCAAGCGTGGGTGAGACCTGGTGCAGAACGGGAAGGCGACCCATACTTGGTTTCAGAGGCTGTGAGAATAACTGCAATTTAGAGGGAATACCATTTATGTTTATGCAGGACTTCCAGAGAAAAAACAAAATTTATTATAGACATAAAGAATAAGAGATGAAATTCATGATTATATTGCATTTCTGTTCCAATGGGATTAAAAAAAAAAAAACACGTATTCTAAGTAAGTTGAACCAGGTTGACAGCTAATGATTTGATGTCTCTGTTAATGATTTTAAAACATTGTACAAATCCAAAACTGTTTACTCCTTCAAGGTATACCTCCTTTTCTCCCACTTCTCCAGCTATTGTGGTCCATTTGCCCTTGCTCTGGGCTAGTTCCTTGGTAACTAACAGAAATGGATGGACAGAGATGCCATGACAGGAGTATGGATTTTGCTGGGTCCTCATTTATGCTGGGGCATCTATCAACTCTTTTTCCAACATATTTTTGTTTCCCACACAGCCCCACTCACAGATGCTTGCCTATAGGGCCAAAAATCTCTAGTTAGCAATCTGCCAGAGTCCTGCTTTTTTGTGTAGGAGATTGGAGTTCTTTCAAATAACCCATCTGGTAAGATGTAGAGAAGTAGAGAAACTGAGGTAAATAAAATGTATATTGTTAAGTACTTTATTGCATACTTTGTACCTTTGCTGATAATTAATTTATAGACTATATCTGTTGAGCTGGTGTTGGTTAAGGTTGTATTTGCTTGTTTGTTTGTTCTATACTCTTTAAAAACTTTTGTGGGTGGGTAGGGAGGGTATAATGGTGTTGATGTATGTTGTCATCCCTTAGGCCAGAGGAACCATTTCACAATTACTTTTTATTTTCTCAACAAGAATTCTGAAGGCCTGTATCTTTGGCACAGAAAATTAAGCTATAAAGGCAAGTTCTGCCAAGTATATATTACATATCTCCTGGCCATGGATTTTGGTAGGCTGTGAGAAAAATATGAAAGTCATTTCCAAAGATTTATTTTGTATTTCCTTAATTGACTTTCATATTTGTAATACATTTTCTATTTATAAATGGTATTTCTTTGTTCCACTTAAGGTACCTTAATTTATAAACACACAAAATTAATCAAGGACATTTCCCCATTTTGTTAGGTTCTGAGAAGAATAAACCAAATTCTTCGCCAAGGCTTTTCCTTTTTTGGAAAATGCATTGGATAAACATGGTTTTCTTTGAATTATCTCAATGAAAGAGCTTCTCCCTGGACATTCTAAAGAAGTGCTGTCTGGTAGATTTTTCTGTGTTGACAGAAATGACCTACAATCTGCACTAATTTGACAGACATTAGCCACAAGGCACTTGAAAAATGGCCAATGAACTAAATTTTTAAATTTATATAGCAGCGTGTGATCAGTGGCTACTATATTGTAGAGCATAGTTCTAGAGTACTTTAGTTATTTAGATAATTTTTTATAGATTACAAGTTTACCAAATTCATCTTTATCAATTCTCTTATGAATTTGCTAGGTTTTGGTTAGTAGCTTAAGTTTATGTATTTTAGAGCAGTTTTAATACATCACCATGTGTTTTGACTTAGTACTTTTAGGCTGCTACTAAACCAAACACAATACCATAAATTGGATAGCTTATATAATTTTTTTCTCACAACTCTGGAGGCTGGGATTTCTAAGAACAAGGCACCAGCAGATTCATTGTTCAATGAGGGCCTGTTTCATGGTTCCTAGATAATATCTTCTCACTTTGTCCTTACGTGATAGAGAGGGCAAGCAACTCCTTCAGGCCTCTTTTATAGTGGCACTAATTCCATTCTTGAGGTGTCTGTGCCCGTGACTTAATCACCTCCCAAAGGCCTCCCCTCCTAATGCCATCAACTTGGAGGTTAGGATTTCAATATACAAATTTTGGGGGCAACACAAACATTCAAACCATAGCATTCTTATACAATAAACTACTCACAAAATAGAGAGTTAACTAAAACAATTCTCCAAGTTTTAAACAATTTATATGGTTGCCACTTTATTTTCTATGAAAACAAATTAAATTTCTGCTGAAAGCTAAAAGCTGGCCAATTACCAAGTGATCCCACAGTTATTGAGTGTTACTACTTGGACAGCATTAAATAAACCATTCTTTAAGTTACAGAAAAGATTTGAGGTGATTC